>NC_000006.12:11423636-11575151 GCF_000001405.40 Homo sapiens | reverse complement strand
CAATGAATAATTCATTATTGCAACCTCTCACCTGGGCATTCAATTAACTAGACCTCTTTAGCATTTTTGTAAACATACAGTATAACATACTGATAATTACAAGTGATAATGCAGAAAAATAACATAATTTAATGTAATTTCTAAATTATTAATAAATATTTTAATATTAAAGGTATCTTTTCTGAATAATATGAATTCTTAAATATCATGTAAAATATAATACCTGACTAATCCATCTCACAATCTACCATACAAAATAGTTCTTGCTTTTTAAATAAACCATCCGACTCTAAGTTATTTGGAGACTAGTATCTTGACGTCTAATAAGAATGGAAAATGAACCTGACATCTATTCTAGTGAGGTTCCTTAGGTAATGTACACTTCTGAGAACGGGAGAATCTCAGTGTATGAGGAACCTCAGTGCTCATCTGATTCAACATCTGATCTTCACAGACCATCCATAATGATGTGGTATCTAAGCGGCTAACTTTAAAAGTACATTTAGGAACCATAAAGGAGGAAACATTTAAATTATAATATGCCATCCCACAGATGGAGATGGCCTGAAAACTCTTTTTCTAGAAAAACTGTCTATATATCCTAAAATGGTTAGATAAAAGAACATAAGACAAAGACGAGAAGTTATCTGAAAATACTGAATTGACAATTACAATTAAGACGGAAACCTACTCATGAAAATTAGAATATAATTTTTACTTGTCAACTTAGAAAAAAATTAGCTAAAGATTAATTATTTGTACTTCACTCAAAATCTTCCAAATAAAAGTTATTGTATTGCTCTGTAAGAGATGTAAACAGGAAAAGCAAATTACTAACCTAAGCCAAGGACTTTCATATACATGTTTTAAAATAAAAGGAAATTAAAATAGTGTACTTACCATATACTATGTATTTTGCAGGAACTTTACAAATATTATCATATTTAAATATCATACCACCCCCTCAGTATTATCACCTAATTTAAAGATGAAAAAAACAGAGGTTCAGAGAGGTTCAGTTACTAGCCCCAGGAAATACAGCAAGTACAAGAGCCGGGATTTTTCAATCCAGGTTAGTCTGGCTATAAATCCCAAAATCATTCTATCACTTCATATTTATACTAAGTGAAAATGAGAACGAAGAATTCAGAGAATGATAAAGTAGCTAATAAGCATCTCAAAACTCCTAGTAGCACCAACATTTACTTAACCAAACAATGAAATCACTTGTATAATTGGTCACATATCCAAATTTTAGGATTAGATGACATTCTTTAAAAATATTAAGTATCCTACACCTTTGTTATCAGAAATTATGTTAAAATAAACTAGAGTAATACTCTTTCTCTTTGGATTCATCCTAGATTTATATGACTATCTTCCATTTTAAAAACCACATTTTAGCCTCCATCCCTCTGATACTAAGTTTTCAATCATGATCCACAGCAAGGGGAAAATCGAAGCAATTACTAGCTCAGGCTGCCTGCGAAATGGCAAACAACTGTGTCAATTCAAACGTTGCATGCTTACATAAGGTGAGGAGCATGGGTTGTAGAGCCAGGCTCCTGGATTAAAATCCAAGCTCCACTACTTAGCAACTGTGTTACACTGGACAATCACAGCCTCCCATGCCTTGCTTCCTCCACTGTAAAATAGGTGGGCACGAAGATTAAGAGATGACACTTGTCAAGTGCTTAAAACAGTGGACGATCCTAGTATGTACTCAACAAATTTTGGCTAGTAGTCGTCATAGTAGTAAAGGATAAAGATAATTCCAATCAGTGATTCACCATTCAATAAATGGTGTTGGAATGACTGGTAGCCATTTCAAAAAAATAAATTTAGGTCCCTGCTTCACACCATTCCCCAAAATAAATTTCAGATGGATTAAATAACTAAATGTTAAAAACAAAAGTACACATCTAAACTTTAAAATGTAAGAGAATTATGTTTATGATCCTAGGAAAAGAGATCTTAAGACCACAAAAAAAGGGTAAAACCCATAAAGGTTTCACATCAATGAACAGACTGGAAAAATATTTGCTATATGCAAAACAAACTGATGATTAATATTTAGAATATAAACACACATATATACATGCATAAACACACACAATCAATACAGCATTTCTGTAATCAAACAAAAACAAAACAAATGTCCACCATCAGTTGGAGATAAACTATATGAAGTCCATACCATGAACCCATACAATTTCAAAAGGAAAATATAGATTTGTATGAACTGAAATAAAAATAACTTAGATATATCATTTAGGTAACAAAGAAAATAAAACATAAAACAATACATATTCTCTACTAGTACATACATACATATGTATGTGTGTATGTATGCGGTATGTATGTAAATATGTATGAATGAATGTAATGCATCAACAAATATCTGGCGGATACATACCAAACTGAAAATAGGGCTTACTTCTGAGAAGAGCACTAGTTTGAGAGTGTTGGTCAAAAGGGGCTTTGCTCTATCTATAATGTTTTGAGTTTTACATAATGAATATAATCATATATTACTCACGTAATAAAATTTTTAAACTCTAACTTAACTTCTATACCTAACTTGCCTAAAACACCCCTAAAATTCCAAGAAACTTTCATCTTAAATGTCAGGATATGAAAGATATTTCATTTTAAATGCCAGGATATCTTTCAATCCTATTTATCAAATAAAAATATTGGTATACAATGAAAAAGTTAAATAAACTCTTGATTTAAAATAGCAGGGCATAAATATATTATGGAATATAGTAGGAAATAACTATATTCCTTGTATGCAGCTATAACTTATTCATTTTCACTGCCATACAGAATTCCAAGTATGAATATACCACAATTTATTTATCCATTCTATGGCCAACAACATGTCTTTGTTTTCAGTCCTTTACAATCCCAAACACTGCTCCTGTGAATGTTCTTGTCTACGACCCCTAGCACACACATGCAGTCAAGAGTTTCTCCATGACCCACGGGTAAAACCAGAACTGCTCAGCCCTATGGTATGGGCCTTTTCAACTTGACTAGATAGTGCCAAATTATTTTTCTAAATTAGCTGTACCAATGTGTATTTCAGTTACTCCATATCCTCAGAGGCAGGTGACATCCTTTTTTGTTTTTTAATTTTTTTTGCCAATCTAGTGGGTAAGAGATATTATCTATCTGATTAATTTACAAATCCTTGGCAATTAATGTGATTGAGTTTCTCTTCACATATTATTAGCCATTAGGGTTTCTACTTCTATGAAATGCTTAAGTCCTTTATTCACTTTTCTACCGGGTTGTCTTTTTATAACTTGAGTCACAGGGTTTTTAAAAAATATATAGTCTAGATATTAATCTTTTTACAATTATATGAAGTTATATATTATTTTAACAAATATCTTACCCCAGTTTGTTCTTTAGTTTTCACTCTCCTTAGGGTGTCTTGCTGAACAACAGCTAGTTGAAAGAGTACATTAAGATCTTTATTTTCTTGGTGATTTATGAGGCTAATATATGCAGGCATGCAGAGAAGTGGGATAGGGTTCTTGAAATAAATAACGCATGCGGATCTGCCACTGTCAACAGTGGCAAACATGATCAATTAGAAATAAGGAAAGATCCCAAATGAAGTGGAGAAAGCAATACTGCCAAGATGATCTGAAGGTGAGTAAAATATACAAAACTACAAGAACGAAGGGGAACAGGAGAGTCATCAGCAGACAGAAAACACTGATACACAACATCAAGTGCCTGCAGATGAGCATTCCAATGAAAAGTGATGTGATCTGCCCTGTGTATTTCCTGACAGAAAGCAAATGATAGCCTGTGGTCCTAGCGACTCAGGAGGCTGAGTTGGGAGGATCACTGGAGCTCAGAAGTTCAAGGGTACAGTAAGGTATGAGTGTGTCACTGCATTCCAGCCTGGGCAGCAGAGCCAGACTCTATCTCTAAAATGGAAAAAGAAAAAAAAAAAAAAGCAAGCATATGATAAAGGTTAAGGGTGAAGAGGCACAAAGAGCTATGGGTGGAAAAACAGAAAAAAAAATAGAACAAGGTTAAGGCAAGAATTAGTTTTGATAATGTGTTGATTCTATCAGTTTGCATAGTTAGATCGAGGTTGGCAAACTACAATCCACAAATCTGGCCCACCCACCTATTTTGTACAGCATGCAGGCTAAGAATAGTTTTCACATTTTTAAAGTGATTTTTTAAAATCCAGAGATTAACATTTCATGATACATGAAAATTATATGAAATTCTGATTTTAGTGTCCATCAATAATGTTTTCTTGAAATACAGCTGCACTCATTTCTGATACTGAATTATCTTTGCATTCCAAGAATAGCAATTCCTAAGGTTCTGGTGTAGCCCTCATCTTGTTTAGCAACAAGATTACACTGACCTCTGCAAACAAGCTGTGCACAGCTTTTATTCTTTCTATTTTCTGCAGTAACTTGGATCAAATATGAACTAGTTGTTCTTGAAAGTTTGGTAGAATTCTCCTGTAAACCCCTTTGGGCCTGGAGTTTTTTGGAAGAAGGGTTTTTAATATTGCAATTGGCAAAAATAATTATTTTCCTATTCATATGTTCTATTTCCCCTTATGTCAAATTTTGACATTTTATATTTAGGTATAGCTGTTCATAAAACTATTTTATTTTTATAATTCTCTATCTTTATTATTGAGATTTAGTATTTCTTCTATTATGCTCTGTATTTTACTCTTCTGCCTTAACCCTTTTTTCTTAGTTTGCCAGCAGTCTATTCATCTTATCTCTCCAAAGAACCAGTTTTTTGTTAATCTTTCATATACCTGACTTACAAAGCTTAATAGTATTTCTCCACACCAATAAAACTAAACAATGTAATCAAAAGATATCCATGCACAATAGCCATAACAGGAGTTTGGGAATTAACTTCATAAAAAGTATACAAACTTCCTATTGAGAAAAGCATTTTTAAACTCTAATAAAAGACGTAAAAGATGATCTCAATAAATAGAGCTACACTACATGTTCTTGGGTGATATAATATGGCAATTCTTCCCAAATTATCCTCTATATTCAGTTAAATCCTAATAAAAATCATTATCATACTTTTTGAGCGATCCAGTAGACATAGTCTAAAATTTATATGAAAGAATAAAGGCCCATCAACAGCTGTTAACTTTGAGAAAGGAAAGTAACAAGAGGGACCTATTCCTGACAGATATTAAGATATACCACAAAACCACTGGGATTAAAAAAAAAAAGTGACCTTTCTACAAGAATAGATAAAAAGACCAATGAATCAGAATAGAGTTCAGAGACAGATCCCTGTACTTTGAGAATGTAATATACAATAAAGGTGGCACTACAAATCAACAAGGAAATGATGAATTTTTTAGTGTTTGGCATGATAAAAACTGATTTACTATATGGCAGTGGGGGAAAAAAACACATAGAATCCTATCTAATACCTAAAACAAAGGTAGACTCTATATGGAGGATAAATTATGGCCTGAATGCCCGATGCCTCTGTTGTAAATAGAAATAACGTTTTACTGAAACAGGCCATGAGCATTCATTTACATATGTCTATGGCTGCTTTTGCACTACCTTGGCAGAACTGAATAATGTGACAGAGACCACTAGCCTGCGAAATCTAAAATATTTATTACTTGGCCCTTTACAAAAATGTTTGCCACTTCCTGCTACAGGTGAATTAAAGACCTTAATACAAAAGGAAAAACTGTAAAATTAATAGAAGAAAATATATCAGAATATCTTTTGGCAATGGAATGGAGGATAACTTCTTTAATAAAATCTTTAAGTATAAACCATAAGACAAAAACCCTTTCAGTTGATCATGTCGAAACTAAGGATTTCTGCTCCGTAAATGATATCATGGATGAAGGTAACTGATAAAAGACTGAGATAAATTATTTGCAAAGTCCAAAACCAACAAGAGGTCAATATCTCTAATATATAAAAATATCTGTAACCTAATAAAAAGGAAACAAGAATACCAAAAGAAAACCACAGAATTTAAAGAAGCAATCTGTAAAAAAGAAAACCTAAATATATAATAAACATAAGAAGAGATGCTCAAATTCACTAATAATCACAGAAATGCAAATTAAACCAACAATGAGAACTTACTTTACACTTTTAGACTGGCTAAAATTAAACAGCTAAAATTAGACATTATATAGAAACCAGTTTCTCCCAATTCTGGTATTAACTAAAAACACTATATGAAAAATCACTCTAGTTTCAAAATAAAATCTAAGAAGTAGCAAAATATAATGAATATGTAACTATATTCAGTCAGCATCTTACTGAATATAGGTATTTAGCAATCAATAACTGAACTGAAGATACAGCTATGAGTGCACTAGTATTCACAACTTGTATTAAGAAAATAAATATCACTATTCACATTGGCTAGTTTTCCTAATTCACCTGTTTGCAGGTCAGATAATTAGCCAGAAAAAAATTAAATGTTTTATTGCTAATATGGACACAAATTTTTACTTGAAATTGTGTCAGACTTACATTTTTAAGGATTTAAAAATATAACACTGCAGTTTCTAAAATCACTGGCTTACTTTATTCTTGACTGAATTGAAAATGGGTTATATATACACACATATCATCAGAGATAAATGGAAGAATTCCATTTCTCATGCTCTCTTTAAACTTTTGCAATAATATATGCAAATAAATACATATATATATATACACATACCATTTAAACTTCCAAACAAGCTGCTCCTTCTTCCTTCCCCCTCTGTTCATGGTTGCACAATTACAACAGTGGCCATGTCAAAAACTACTGGCAGCCCCTTTCATATCTGTTTGTATGCCACCACAATGAATAACTAATTTAGATTTTTTGTCCTTTGTATGGTTCTTACATTAACTCCTTCCTTCCCAACCTACGGCCATTACTCTAGTTCAGAACCTGGCCTCAAGTTTAGATTACAGTTAATGCCTCTTAATTCCTCTTCCTTCCTCTTTATTCTCTCTCCCTATCCCCTCTTCTTTCTTTCCTTTCCTCCCTCTCTTCCTCTCTCACTCCTATCCATCAAACCTATATGTTTTGCATATCCATTATGTTCTAGGTACTGTTTTATTTTTGGGGATCGAGCAGTGATGAAGACAGACCAGGTCTCTGCTCTTTCAGGGTTTTCTCTTGCTTCTTTACATTAATTCTATATTCAACTATAAAACAAAATTTCCCACTGAACTGCTTGTCCCTTGCCAACTGCATTCAAAAATATCCATTTGTTTTCCATGGCCGGCAGAATAAAGCCCAAACTTCCCAGATAGCTTTCCAAGGCCCTCTGGAATCTGGCTCGGTTCTATCTTTCCTACTGAATCTGGTACTACTCCTATTAAGCAGACCATGTGCTTTAGCTAAACCTGAGTACCTGTTTAAAACCCCGTCTATGACAAAGCATATGAGGTACCATCCATATCATCAAATTATAGGTTGAATGCAGAAACAACAAAAGCAACTATAAAAACTTAACACAAGATAACAAAAAATAGCAATTGAAGGATAAGAAAACAGACTCCTCCCCATTTCCCACAAGTATTTTATGGTTGTCTTATTAGTGCCATAGGACATACCCAGGAACATGGGAGTAGGGCTTTCCTCTCAAGACAAAGGATGTCAATCACTCTGGAAAGGGTAAAGAAGGGAATCCCTTGCATCATAAAGACAAGGTTGCCTTCTTATCTCTGAGGCAAGAATCAACTAGAAAGGAAGAAGAAACTGTCAGAGAGTCCCAAAACAGATCCAGTGGTAGCAGTGAGCTGCCCCTGACATATGGGAATAGGCCAGACGTGAAGGGCAACAGACACATGTACTCTGCATTGGCAGTCACAGAATCAACAGCAGCTCAGAGAGGCACCCGGTTCCTGGCACAACCACACTAAGCAAGTAGATGTGGCACGCTCCAGTCTCAACAGGGTACACACCTAAGCTCTGCTCAACCAGTGGCTGCAGAAATTGTTACAATAGGTAGGTTGTCAGGAGTGGGGCAGGAGAGGGCTGCCCCCACCCACCAGGAATGTCAGGTGACCATCAGGTGATGGTCCGGCAGTTGTCACACTAAAATGATAATTGGTCACAGGCACCAGGGAGAGGCAATTTCCCAATGGATAAAAACACTTGAAATTGGTAACCAGTAGCTTCCAATAAAATCTCAGGAAATGCGTAAGTGGGCTCAAGCATGTGCATTAAAACAAAATGGTGGAGTATGACCTTTGGGGGCATTCCACCGGAAAACGGAAGAAAGCCTCAGATGAGCATGAATACAACTTCTTAAACACACTGCGCATGCTCGCCTCCCAAGTGTAAAGAGGACACCGCGCATGCGGGTGGCTCACCCTAAAGGAAGAATGAAGGAAAAGGGGTGCAAGACACTGGAAATGGGCCAGCAAGTCATAGCACCAAGGTTAAATGGGGCACTTGACCTCCAAAGTGCCCATTTGTGTCTCTTCCAAGTGTACTTTCCTTTCTTTCCTGCTCTAAAGCTTTTAAATTCCACTCCTGCTCTGAAGCTTGCCTTGGTGTCTTTTTCTGTCTTACACCCCTCAGTCGAATTATTTCTTCTGAGGAGGTAAGAACTGAGGCTGCTGCAGACCTGTATGGATTTGCTGCTGGTAACTTGGATACCTTCTGCTGATAACAAAACCATAAACTAATTCTTTGAAGTCAAGGCTGGAGTTTGGGCCTAAGTACAGTGTTAAACAGAGAAGTCCAGAGGGAATGAACCTGAAAACTTGTCTGAAAAAAGCTCATGAGGCAGCACAGCAGGAAACCTGCAAAGCACTAGAAGACACTCTAGCACAGCTCATTTCTAGTAGGCCATAATAATGTGTATATAAGAAGAAAGTGCAATTTTATTTTGTAGTCACAGGCAGATGACATTAAGGACCTCAGGGCTATACTTTTGCTTATGATAATTATCACTGACATATTTTTATGCCTTTGTTTTTTCCTAGAAAATGAGCAACTTGAAAGCAGAAACTATAATCACTGTGAATTTTCCCATTGACCTGCCTTGCCTCTTGCCAATTTTTATGAATTTTTCTATTTCCCTCAAAACCTTGTAAAAGGACTCTTCACACAGCAGAATTACAACGACTTGTCTGTTCAATGAATAAATCAGCTCATCTTTATCTTCTAGATGGAGTGTGTTAAGTGTTGAAAAATAATCTACATAAAAGATCTCACTAATGTTACATGTATAATAAGAACACAGCTACCAAAATGGTAAGTGTATACAAACTTACATCCTCAGACAAAAGAAAATCAACTTACTGGTAATCATCGCTCCAGTTACAGAAGCCAGAAATCCAATGCTGACTGCAATGACAGAGATGACTCTTCCCTGCCTATGCCTCTGCAGCATCACAAACATCAACACTCCTGCAGCACCATGGACAAACAGAGAAGAGAAGAGAGCCCAGAGGAAGATCCAGTACCACATCTCTGAAAGGAAAAGCAAAGTATTAATCATCTGTTGAAACACAACTTAGAAAATTCAATTTAACAAACAGTGAGCACCTATGGTTTGGGAGGTTAAATGACATAATACATAGAAAAATGCTTCACACAGTGCCTGACACAAGTAGCACTGAATACATTATAAGTTTTATCATCATCGCTGATGCCTGATGGGGAAATAATTCCTTCCATGGCTTCAAAAGGTTAACACTATACTCTAATTTCTTCTAAATGCCCCTATTACATAGCTATCATCCATCAATTTTATATTAAACCCCTGATATATTTGTAAACTTCTTAGAATTATAAAATTACTGTTTGAAATAGAATTTTTTATTTTCTACCCTAAATAGCAGTGTTAAGAATGTTTTTAACTACCTTGTAATTCTAATTCAAATCATTCCAGAAATCAGTCAATGATTTTTACCTTTTATCTTTAAGAATTTCAGTCATTTTCTCCTTGTGGCCCTGAACTTGGTATACTAAAAAATCAGTCAGATAAATTATTTGCCTCTAGTCATCTTAGTGTTCCTTATCCAGAACTTTTCAAGCTCCAATATTATCTCCCCACTGTGACCTCAATCGACTGTTCACTGACATCTCAGCTTAAGAGACAGTGGACAAGCACACTCTTCATTCTCTGTCTCACATTCATTCCCTTTCCTTCTGGCCACCCGACTGCCTCCCAGTCACTCCATATAGTTCCCACAGATGTCCTTGCACTGACTCCTTCTCCCTGACCATACTGTAGTGAGGGTGGAAAGAAAGGCAATCGATCCAAGCTGGGCCAATCGTTCCCTTCCCCTGGGACTTCTGGATTGGGACCAACTGAGTGTCCTTGCTCTTTGGGTAGCTGAAGCAGAAAGGCTCAAGATTTGTGAAGCTACTTCATCGTCGCATGATGAAAGCCACAGTACAAGAAGGAAAAAGATCCATCAAAGACAAGAGAGAATCAAGTCCCTTAATGAGTTATTTCTAAGGCCTGACTCATTACCATCCTTAGATTCAATGTCACATCCCAGTTCCCATTTAATAAAATCCCTCTTTTTACTTAAACTATTCAGATAAGGATTCTCTCACTTATACCTGAAAGAGCTGACTCTAAAATATTTAGATGTCACCTTGAGGATCATCCTTGATATGCAAACATTCTATAATACAAAGTATCTCATCTGTGATTTGGGCTAGGTAGTCACTATCAATTGTAAAAGAAAAGTCAATAAAATAGTCATTAAAGAATTAAAATGGATGAATCAAAACCTATGTATCCAAATATCATTAAACATAGATATTTACTGTTGGTAGGAATGTAAAATGATGCAGCTGCTGTGGAAAATAGTATGGAGGCTCCTCAAGAAGTTAAAAACAAAACTACCATATGATCCAACAATTCCACTTTCTGGGTATATACCCAAAAGAACTAAAAGCAGAATCTCAAAGAGATATTGGCACACCCATGTTTATCAGTATTATTCACAATAGCCAAGAGGTGATAGCAACTCAAGAGTCCCTGAATGGATAAATAAAACATGGTACACATACAACGGAAAAATTACTCAGTTTTAAAAGGGAAGGAAGGAAATCTTATCACATGCTACAACAGGAATGAACCTTGTGGACATTATGCTAAGTGAAATAAATCATCACAAATGAATACCATATGATTTTGTTGTTTTTTTTTAAGGCAGAGTCTTGCTCCATCACCCAGGCTGGAGTGCAGTGGCGTGACCACAGCTCACTGCAGCCTCCATCTCCTGGGATCAAGTGATCCTCCTGCCTCAGTCTTCCCAGTAGCTACAACTACACATGTGGGCCACCACGCCTGGCTAGTTTTTAAAAAATATTTTTTGTAGAGACAGGATCTGCCTGTGCTGCCCAGACTGGTCTAGAACCCCTGGCCTCAAGTAATTCTCCTGCCTCAACTTCCCAAAGTGCTGGGATTACAGGCGAGAACCACCACACCTGGCCTCAAGTTGTAACCTTTAAAATCAACCAGTAACCATAACCAGTGAAGTGTTTCCTTGCGTTCTATGAGCTGTTCTAGCAAATGATGAAACCTGAGGAGGGGTCAATGGGAACCCCCGACTTACAGTCAGTCACAAATATGGGAAGCGCAGACTTTCTACTGGTGTCTAAATGGGAGTCGTTTCTGGGACTGTGCCTTTAACCTGCGGGACTGGATGCTAACACCAGGTAAATGTCAGAACTGAACTGAACTGTAGGACACCCAGTTGGTATCCTAGAGAACTGCTTGGTGTGGGAAAAAAACCACACATCACTTGTCACAGAAGTGATCTGTGTGAGGGAGGAGAAAACAGTGAGTGCCTTTTCTTGGCGGGGAGGGGGGCCTGGTGTGGAGTAACCTCAGCTCACTGCAACCTCCACCTCCCAGGTTCAAGCGATTCTCCTGCCTCAGCCTCCCAAGTAGCTGGGATTACAGGTGCCCGTCACCATGCCTGGCTAATTTTTGTATTTTTAGTAGAGATGGGGTTTCTCTGTGTTGGTCAGGCTGTCTCAAACTCCCGACCTCAGGTGATCTGCCCACCTTGGCCTCTCAAAGTGCTAGGATTACAGGCGTGAGCCACTGCCCCCAGTCAACAGCGAGTATGCTTCATCAGTTATGTTTTTACCAATTTTTTTTAAAAAGTAAAAAATTTAAAAGCATGATATAAATTTGAAAAATACTTAGGTCAAGACCATAAATGACTAAGAATTTTAAAACGAAACAAAAACTCCTTAAAAAGGAAGGAGGGTATGGTTATTAAAAAGCAACATGAGTGATCTTTGTGGTAATGGATTTCTTCTTTGACTATAGTGGTGGATATACATGTAAGTGATACAATTGTATAGAACTAAATACACAATAGAGAAGAGTACAAGTGTAGAAGAAATACTAGCAAAATCTGGATAAGGTTGGTGGATTGCATCAATGTTAATATCCTGGTTGATATATTATACTGTGGATTTCTGAGATGTTCCTATTGGGTAAACTGGATAAAGGGTACATAAGCTCTCTATGTATTGGTTCTTACAACTGTGATTCTTATAATCTCAAAATAAAAGTTTAATCTTAAAAAACGAAAGAATAGAAAGATTTTTTTAAAATCAGCTTTACCCTGCCAAATTCTTAAGAACTGGCACGTAGAATGGACTCATGCAATTTGAAATTATTTCAAAGAAGATACATCTGATATATTTTACAGTGTGTGTTAAACTACCATGCATGCTTCTCAATGGCATACAAGATAGATGCTAGTGATTACGGAAATATAGACAAAACTTGCCTTTTAGAGGCTTTTCTCTTCCAGCATTCAGGGAAACAGTATTTCAGATCATTACTCTCAAACAAATGGCTTCAATTTATAATAAATACATTAAAATTTAAAAACCCCAACTTGCTCAGCAGATATTTGCATATTGAAAGATACAGTTTTCCTAAGTGAACCTAATAAAGTGAGAATATAAGGGAGTAGAATATGGGGGTGTATATTTTCATCAAGGGAGCTCTTTTCTCAACTTACCCTGAGACAAGGAAAGGCTCTGCAACAACCACAGGCTCTTCAATACAAAAGTCAACAATCCGCCTTGTACCTCACGCCCATTTAAAAAAGTTCTTATAATACAATTAGAGGAAATAATTTATTTATTGACTATATTTAACACTGTGAACAGGAAATTATCTGACATTATAAAAAAGTAGTGTTGTTTGACTACTGAATATGTAGCTATGATCTCAACAATAAATCTACCTAATAGAAGGCAAAGTAAAATTTCAGTTTAATGTTTTATAAAAACCAAAGGTATCAAAATAATCATAAAATTAAAATAGAATTTCAAATGGTCTTCCAATGACCAGTCCAGGATTATTCCTTCATCAGACTGAACATGAACAAAGTACCCTAATGTCAGATTTACTTTTATATTTCTTTCTCTCTTTTAAAAAATCATACTCTTTATGATGGAAAAAATGATAGAAAACATAACCTAACAGTTATGTTAGGTTTTGTGTTATTACTATTATTTTGAATTACCTGACAGATCAACATAACCTCATGAGTGAACAGGGACCCTAAAGATTTTGATCAACTCTGGATAAGCAAGACTTAAAGTCTAAGGCCCAATCACTATCGGCAAATACATGAAACCTACTGGATTAGTTCAGGTGAAGAGAACCGCAGGATCCTAAGGACTAGAGCAAAAGCAGATGCCCAAGGTCCTAGGAAGAACACCTAGTAAAAAGACAGGAGTGGAATATCACAGCCTTTTCTTAAACTGTCTATGCTAAAGTGAACACCCAGAGGCTCACAGTTTTCTCTCTCCACTCATACCCCACCTCATCCAAGCTTCTAGCAATTGGGTAACAATGAAGGGAGGAAGCCAGAGAGACTTTTGCTAGTGCTGAAAAAATACAAAACAAACATTTTAAAAATGTAATACAAAAAAACAACAGAAACTTTGAAGCATCTCATGCCTATAATCACCATAATTCTCTGGAAGGGAATATCCCTTCTTCCAGAACGTATCTCAGAAATTCCTTTGGTAACATTTCCCCACTCAAGACTGTCTATAATCCTCACCTTAATTTTGCCTGGATTGTTGCAGTGTGTTACTTTTTGGTGGGGTAAAAGGCAGCAGAGTTATGATCTGTTCCAGCCTCCAAACAATACTAGAAATAGCTCTGCTCCCAATCTGTAACTTTCATCAGCTCTGGTTGCCAAGCCACTAAAAAATTATCTTCTGTGCTTTTGTTTTTAATCCTTCAACAACATTATTTATGAGAAATGAATTTCTCTAGATGTCTAAAAAATACTGAGTAAAAACAAGTCAAAGAATGGTACATATTGTATAATCCTATTTGTTTAAAAAAGTACATTTTCATATCTGTATAGAAAACATATAACCAAATGGAAGAAGACCTAACAATGGCTTTTAGAGATAAGATATGAGATGAATGATATCATTTTATACATTCTTTACTATTTTAAACTGGTCTGAAATATTTTACACACATTTTTACTGCAAATATAATATTTTTAGAAATTAGTTTTTCATTTTTTTTTTTTTTTTTAAGAGATAGCAGTCTTGCTATGCTGCCCAGGCTGGACTCAAACTCCTGGGCTCAAACGATTCTCCTGCCTCAGTCTCCTGAGTAGCTGCTACTACAGGCATGTACAACTATGCCTGGCTCTCATTCTATTCTTTATCAAAGGAGAAGATTTGGGAGGCTGAGGCAGGTGGATCATGAGGTCAGGAGATCGAGACCATCCTGGCTAACATGGCGAAACCCCATCTCTACTAAAAATTAAAAAAAAAAAAAAAATAGCTGGGCGTGGTGGCGGGCACCTGTAGTCCCAGCTAGTCGGAAGGCTGAGGCAGGAGAATGGTGTGAACCCAGGAGGTGGAGCTTGCAGTGAGCAAAGACCACGCCACTGCACTCCAGCCTGGGCGACACAGCAAGACTGTCTCAAAAAATAAAAAATAAAAAATAAAAAAATAAAAATAAAGGAGAAGATGCTCTGCTAGATCAATGGTTCTCAACTTGAGCTGCTCATGAGAATTACTGCATACTGGGTATGCAGTAGAGACAGAAATCACTACTCTAGGATAAAGTTACATAAGAGGTATTTATTTAAAACTCCGAAAGTCATTAAAACAACAAAACCTATCTCATTAGACTATTTTTTTAATCCTCAAAAATACAGAGAACCCAACCTCTCTATTAAAAGTCATTAGCAAGTCAATACTGAAAACTTACTATGCACTAAACATTCTAGAAATCAAGCTGAAAATACCATTTATATATTTTATATATATATTTTTTCTTTCTTTATACCATCACCTTCTTTATAGAAATGGTCCATATTACATATTTAAATAATCTGTGTCCAAATTGGGTTATTTCAAGCTTTTTATTATACCAACAAATCTGAAGTGTAGAACTTGCACCCATTTTCTAACAGCAATGACTTCTGAATTTGGGGACATGTCCCACATAGGGGACTTACTAGACTCTCAGAGAGATGATACATTTATAATTTGGAAAAGTGCTATACAGATCAAGGGTCGGCAAAATATAGCCCATGAGTCACATCTAGTTTACCACCTGTCTCTGTATAGTCTTCGTGAATGGTTTTTAGATTTTGAAATGATTTTTTAAAATCAAGAAGCTGGGCACAGTAGCTCATGCCTGTAATCCCAGCAGTTTGGGAGACTGACTCAGGGGGACTGTTTGAGCCCAGGAGTTCAAGACCAGCATGAGGCCCTGTCTCTACAAAAAATTAAAAAATTAGCCAGGCATGGTTGTGCATTCCTGTGGTCCCTCACTACCCAGGAGGCTGAGACGGGAGAATCACTTGAGCCCAGGAGGTCAAGGCTGCAGCAGTCACCCATGATCATGCTACCACACCCCAGCCTGGGTGACAGAGTGAAACCCCGTCTCAAAAAAAAAAAAAAGAAAAGAAAAGAAAAAAATATATAAAGAACAATAATTTGTGACATGTAAAAATCATAGGAAACTCAAATTTCAGTGTTCATAAAGTTTTATTGGAACAAACTCATTCATAGTAGTCTATGACTACTTTCAAGCTACAATGGCAGAGCTGAGTAATTGAGACAGAGATTATATGGCCCATGAAGCCAAAAATATTAATATTTACTACATTTTCTATTTAAGTAAAATAAAATACTATTGCTAAAAGTAGAATACTGTATTTACAGAAAATGTCTGCTGACTTCTGGGCTGGGCTTGGCTGTCCCATCCCCCATTGAAAATTATAGTCAAGGTAGTTTCACATATTATCAAGAGTTGGCACTTTGAGTGTTCAATTAATGACATTTCAATTACATATGTTCTAATTCCTCAGTTTCTGCAGAGTACAGTATGTACGTGATGCTATGGGGTACACAGCCCTGTGGCAAGGGTGTGGGTTGTCAAGAAAGGTCCCAAGAAGAGTCATCGCCACACGTGAATTTTTAAAAAATTAACAAGATTTAAACAAATTAGATAATCATGTTGGAGGTGCGATAAGAGTGGGGAGTGGGAGGTGGGACTTGGCTGTATGCTGGAGTCACCTGGGAGAGCCTAAAATAAATGATGATGCCTTGATACCACCCCCAGACATTCTGATTTAATTGGTTTACGATGTAGCTTGGGCACTGGAATTTTTTAAAGTTGCCCAAATTTAAACGTTTCTTATGTTCCCATACAGCCAAGAATGAGAAACCACTGCTCTAAAACACAATGTTCAAATCATGAAATTGTATATAATAGAGAATATGAAATTGCAAGAATTCTGGGTTTGACTAAAACCAAAAAATATGGTAAGATGAGGCTGTAAATTACAGTGGTATGTTAGAGTCAGAGTAATTTTTGGTGAAGAAAGGGGAGAGGCTCATAGACCATATAGAATGAAGAATTTTTGTGAAAATTGAAGATTATGGGGACCCAATAAAAACTTTAAATAAAGAAGTTATAGAATCATATCTCCTTTTAAAAAGATTACTGTGGTAGATATGGAAAAGTGGGAATGGATGGAGATGAGAGACTATAAGAATATTTCAAGAGTACAAAGAGATTGGTCAGGTGTGGTGGCATAAGCCCATAGTCCCAGCTACTCAGGAGGCTGAGGCAGGAGGATCGCTTGAGCCCAGCAGTTTGAGGCTGCAGTGAGCTATGATTGTGCCACTGCACTCCAGCCTGGGCAATGGAGTGAGACCCTGTCACTTTAAAAAAAATAGTAATGATAATAAATGAATAAATAATAACCATTTTAAAGAGTACAAAGATAAATTAAGGCCTGGATTTTTGTACTGGCTTTGTGATTGAAAATAATTTGAGAAATATTTAGGAGAACTTGCGGATGGCCTGGATGATAGAGATGAGCGAGGTGTGATGTCTGGCCTCCCAGATTTCTGGTGTGAACAACTGGATAAATGATAATTCCATTAGGTTTGGGAGTATAAAAAAGTACGTTTAGTCCATCTACCATACTGTTCAAACACTGGTGAGAAGCAAGCAGTAAAGAAACTAAAAGTAGGAAAATACCAAGTACAAAAATGTGAAGATTACCTGCACAATTACATTACTGACCATGTTCTAAAAATATCTAAATTTCTTTTTTTAAATTATTTTATTTCCTTTTTTTTAATTTCTGGGGTGCATGTGCAGGATATGCATGTTTGCTACATAGGTAAATGTGTGCCATGGTGGTTTGCTACACCCAACAACCCATCACCTAGGTATTAAGCCCAGCATGCATTCATTTCAGGTTTGTAGTGTCCCCAATTTTTTCCTAAATGCATGATTTTGTAGAATTTAAAATCTATGCTTACTAAAACAGTTCAGTTATTCTATTTAAATTTTAATATAAAAATTTGCAAAAAATGTCACTCCCATCCAATGAGAAAAAGATAAAATTATACAATCGTAACTTTTCCTTAGCTCATTAGTGAGGTGAGGATGCAAAGCAAGGAGTGGGGGACATGTGTTACCTGGTAAAGCACAAGAGCAGGCAGTGGGCAACATACAAGTGGGTAAGAAGAAATCAGCTACAATTTTTACAGATTGTTAAAGACCAAGCATGGGTTAACATATCAACCTTGAGTAAATGACACAAGTGACAGACACAAATGCACACTCGCTTGCAAGTGCTTTTCCACAGGTCTCTACTGAGTGCTCCCTGGAAAGACTGGATCATAGGCTGGAGACTGGAGAGAGCCACCACTGGTGGTATAGGCCTGCGGGAGGTGACTGCTAGGGAAACACAGAAATCTTGTTTCTTGCGACCCTTCTCTTATTCAAGGCAAAACCCTTAGCCATTAGGGGAGGGCAGCAAATCCTGTCACCCTAAAGGGACAGGCAAAGCTCTAGTAGAACTCCAGTTTAGGGAAGGGTAGAAGAATAAAACCTCTATTCCTGGGAGAGAAGCAGAAAACCATCCAGGACCCAGGACCCAATTCCAAGCAGAGGTCTGTTACTGCCGATGGAAGGACGAGAAACTCCTAAGAACAATCACAAATGTAAGAAGAGTTTGGCCACCATGGTTCAGAAAGGCAGGAATGCTGACAAAGCCCCACCTCCTGAGATCCCCATACACAGAGCATGCCTAACACAGAAACAGGACAGCTCCCCTCAGGAGCCTAGCAGCAAGTAACAAGCATCAGCATTCCACCACTGGGGGGAGGCTAGTGTGTGGAGAGAGACCCCTTTTGAGGCATAGTTGTGAAGAAATGGCTAAAAGCTACAATGGAGCATTGCCACTGAGAATAACCCTGCAGTACAGAGCTCCCACCCTAAGCACAAGGCAACAACAGCAACCTTACAGAATGTGAAGCGTGCAGTGCACTGAAGGTAACCACAACAACAAAATTCAAATTCAGCTCAACTCCTAAGTAGATTAAATCAATTCTCACTATTGGTCTAACGGAAGCAACAGACCATCTCCAGACATAAACACGATGTACCTCAGTCTTTTTTTTTTTTTTTTTTTTTTTTTTGAGACGGAGTCTCGCTCTGTCGCCCAGGCTGGAGTGCAGTGGCGCGATCTCGGCTCACTGCAAGCTCCGCCTCCCGGGTTCACGCCATTCTCCTGCCTCAGCCTCCCGAGTAGCTGGGACTACAGGCGCCCGCCACCACGCCCGGCTAATTTTTTGTATTTTTAGTAGAGACGGGGTTTCACCGTGTTAGCCAGGATGGTCTCGATCTCCTGACCTCGTGATCCGCCCGCCTCGGCCTCCCAAAGTGCTGGGATTACAGGCGTGAGCCACCGCGCCCGGCCTTGTACCTCAGTCTTTAGTGAGACTTTTTCAATCAAAAAATTAAAAGAAGCACTCAAAAACAGGAAAAACAACTCACTGTTGAGAGATAAAGCAATCTACAGAACCAGAGTCAGAGATGGCCCAGTTTGTAGAATAACCAGACAGAGACTTTATAATAATTATTGTTAATATGTTAAAGTCTCTAGTGGAAGAAGCAGACAACACACATGAACAGATTGGGAATTTCAGTAGAGATGGAAATTCTGAGAGCCAAATGAAAATGCTAGAAGTTTAGAAAAAAAGATATGGCACAATTTCAAATGGTTTAACATATATGTAATTGGAGTCCAGAATAAGAAAGAGACAATGGAGAAGAAAAGATATTTGAAGGGAAAGATGCTGAAAATTTTTCAAAAATAATAAAAGTCATCAAACCACAAATCCAAGACTCTCACAGAATCCTAAGATAAATACCTCCCACTTCCAAGAACCAAAAAACAACAAAACAAAAATAAACCACGCACACACATACCTAGACACATCATAGTGAAATGCGTGAAAACCAAAGATAAAGGGAAAATACTGAGGGTAGTCAGAGGTTAAAAGACATATTACAAACAGTGGAACAAATATAAAAAGTAAAGGAAACTTCTTATCAGAAATTTCCGAGCCAGAAGACAATAGAGTGACATCTTTAAAATACTGAAAGGGGAAAAAAAAACTATAAAGACAGAAATCTATATTCAACAGAAATGTCTTTCAAAACTAAAGGTGAAATGAACATTTATTTGTCAGAAAGAAAAAAGCTCAGAGAATCAACTGCCAGAAGATCTATGCTACAAAATATATTGAAGGAAGCTCCTTAGACAGGATTATGATACCAGATGCAAACTTTACACCAAGAAATAATCAACAAAGGAGGCTAAAATGAAGGTAAACATAAAAGACATTTTCTTCTTATTTTTAATCACGCTAACATTTCAACCAGACTTAAAAATAAATTGTATTTATCAACTGGCAACCACATTTAATACATAAGTTAAAGCTACTGTAGATACTTAATAGTTTCCTACTTTTGCCTCTTAAGAGAGAGCAGAAACATTATCTTTTAAACTTAATTGTGACACCTTCAAGAGCTGCTTTAACATAGTGCCCATCTTAAAATTCATGGCAATACTGTTTATTAGCCACTTAAACCAAATTACCCTTTTGCTTGCTAATTATATAATTTCAAACTGTAAATAACAATACCCATAATTAAACAGAAGACAATTCTTAGAAAAACAGGTTTTTAATTAAAACCAATCAAAATATCATTTGCTTTAAAGAAATCAGGTTAAGGCTATTTAAAATAGTTCAAAAATTGCTCTATATTTAAGCCACAGCACTGTCTTCCTAAAAGATGCCATTCAATTTGTTCTTCCCCATAACTGATTAACTGAGTAATTAATCAATTATAATTCCAGTGATTTTTACTCAGATAAAAAGTGTAAGGATTAAATGTCAAAATCTGAATCTAGTATGAAATTATAACAGTAACCATACAATGGTTTTAATTGTTATTGTGTGCCCTCAAGTATCTTAAATTGTATGTATCATACAAAAAAACATTTTTTGATTCATGTTTGTTTGAATCACCAACCTAAAAAAACCTTCTCCATGAAGGATAAAATGTTTTACAATCTCATAATATAACATTTCCATGGGATATTTATACTAAATACTGAAAATTAAACTTTTTACACCAACGAGCATAACTTGTAATGAAATTCTCAATATAATACATTCCTGAAACTAAATATAAATAGGTAACCAAAGGAATGACCGATCAGGAAATACAAGCATAACCAGGGAAACTGCAAATAATGCAAAGTCAAGTCACGGTAATCACACCTTAAATAGCATTCAGACTAACTGTAAGGAAGTAATTATGCTGTACTGGGATTAAAAGAGAGAGAGAGATAATTTCATAACTGGAAGGAATCTTTAAATACTGAATCAAGTTTCCTAAACCAAATTTCAAGAAGGCCTAAGTCTAAGAGGTCAGAGGTGTGCAGAGAGCAAAGATTTTCTTGGTTCTAAACCTTACTCTACAAATAAGTATATTAAAAGTCTGAAGAAGTCCCACTTGAAAAAGAAAGTTGCTTAACTTGAAAGATTAAAGAAACAAGTTTATGTGCAAATGCATACATTTTTTCTTAAATCCTAGTAAAACCTCTAAACTTTTCTTAACTCATAAAATTTCTAGATCAGCTCTCCCTTAATCAATATGAAAACTATTTACATTAGATAGTATTATAAGTGAGGAAACAGGCCTGGGAAATACATGACTTGTCTAAAGTAAAAAAAACTAGCTAGTAGAAGTTGAGGCTAAAAAATTTTTTGACTCATACATTCAAGGATCCTATTACTTCTTTCAAATCTTTATTTTTAGAAAAAAATTTAGCAGAACCCCAATTATCCAAGAAGGGAGGTGGAAATTCCAATAGCTGCTCACCTAACATATTTACATAAACATTTTTAATGTTTGATTCTCCTATATACTTCAGATTTAATATAACTAAAATGTTTAGAATTTTTAAGATACAGTAGACCCTTGAACAATGCAGGTTTGCAGTGCATGGGTCCAACATACATGTGGATTTTTGTTTTTCAATTAAACATGGAGCAAAAATATTCTAAGGATGCAAAACCCACCTACAGGGAGGTTCGACTTTTCACATACATGGGTTCTGCAGGGCCACTGCAGGATTTTGGTATATGCAGCGGTCCTAGAATCAATCCCCCATATATACTTTGAGATCAAAATAGACACCTCTTTATCAACTAAGACCGAAACTAAGATTAAGGAAGCAAAGTTACCTACAGGTCAAGGGTTCAGGGCCCAGGCGGCATGGCGAATTTCTAAAGTCCTATGGCTCTAAACTCCCTGACAATAGGAGCTATCAGACCACCCCTTACTGATTTACAACCCAGACCACAACTCTGATTAGACACAGGACCAGCCTTATAAACGTTCTTTTCTGATAAGCAATTGTAGACCTTAA
The DNA here is from genome assembly GCF_000001405.40 of Homo sapiens. Taxonomy (NCBI): domain Eukaryota; kingdom Metazoa; phylum Chordata; class Mammalia; order Primates; family Hominidae; genus Homo; species Homo sapiens. The sequence continues at coordinate 11,552,847 of NC_000006.12, read as the reverse complement.
GCCAGTCTCTACCAGTCATACTATACCATAGAGACTGTGCACAGACTGCCTTTGCATCCCATAGTTCACCTTCTGACACAGTCAAATTCTACCTCATTTTAATGCTAAAACCTTGCCCCAAAGTAAACAGAGAATATATGTTACCCATGTTTACCCACTGAGCATGCACTCAGCTCCTCTCATAAATATGTATAGCTTTTCCCCCAAACCTGCTGAATATGTATGACTCTATTGTGTAATACAAACTCTGAGAGGCAATAAAACCCAACCTCAACTTCCCTTCTATGAAGAGACAGTGCTTTCTGCACATGCACATGGCAGAGACTGTCTCTTCCTGGTTTGCAAATTGATATTGCTGATAAAACTATCCTTTCTACTATTTAGCCAGCCTAGTGGTCTTTTGGATGACGACACTCAGGGATAACTGTATTATAATTTAGTAAGGATAATTTTCTATGGCTAATACTGCATACAAATGAAGAAAACATTCTCAAAAGATAAATTTAATATAATCTGTTAAAAGACAAGTCACTTTAAAAAAAATCTGGGTTATCATATGCTCTTGGAAATAAGTGAGTCATTTATACTGAAATTTTAATAAGTCCAAATCTCCCATATTAACTATTATACATCGTTAAGATAGCTATAAATTGATCACAAAAAATAATTTTAAAAAAATCGGGTGTTCCCAACCACTAAGCTCTCAATAACAAAATCTCCTGAAGAGTTGGTTTACAAGGCAGCATCCTAGGCCTTGTTCTAAGATCCTAATTCCACATTTATCGACTGGAGCCATGGATCTGTATGAACAGTTCCAGGTGATTCTGATACGCAGGCCTGGAAACCATGACAGATTCACGTAATTCATGGTAGGGAGTGACAGAAGGAAAAAACTGTATAATGAAAATCCAGTTTCATATTACTGATGAAAACATCTTTGCTTTCCAAGGCACCCAAGAGCAGCAACATAATCATGTCCTGGTAGTACCAACCCATAGGCAGTTCACCTCTCCTGCCTCTCTACCCTCCCATGAACAGGTTCCTGCTCCACTCTTAACCTCTTCTTGTGCTGTCTTCACAGTTCCATTGCCTGGTTCTTCCTGAACTCAACAAGCCACAAAAGAATTACTTAATCTAAAGGTTAGCTTCTCTAGATCACTGAGCTCCTTATGGATAATGACTGACATTTTCACTTTTGTTCATCAGTGTTTACCACAGAGACTGGCACATAACTTATAATCAAGAAATATCAGGATTAATCCTTGAAAATGCTAGACTGTGCTATTTAAACATGATTTTACATATCGAGACAGTTTTCTGCTTTTTCTAATCACCTTGTTTTTACAGACACTTCATTCCCTCACCTGCTATGATGCCCCTAGTCTTCCCTTAGCCTCATTCCTTTCTCCCCATACCCACCTTTAAGACTGTCTTAGCCAGCATCCAGCAGGCCTTCAAGAGTCCCTACCACACCCTTGTGCAGTCTGCTCGCACAATGTTCCAGAGCTGGTCTGTGTATGACCAATAGAATACAGCAGACATGATGGTATATCACTTCCAAGATTAGGCTATCAAAGACTGTGGCTTCTGTTTTGGTTTCTCTTACTGTGTGTTTGTGTCTATGTGTGTGTGATCTCTCATTCTGAAAAAAACAGTTGTGAGTAGCCCTATGGAGAAGGCCTCCCACCACCTGCCAAGAGCCACATGAATGCCCCTGGGAGCTGAACCCCCAGCCCTAGACAAGTCTGCAGAGAATGCAGTAGTCCTGGCTGACAGCTTGACTGGACACTGTAAGACCCTGAGCCAGAACCAGCATTCCTGACCATCAGAGACTGTATGAGAAAATAAATGTGTCTTGTGTTAAGCTACTAAATTTGGGGGTAATGTCATTCAGCAATAGATAACTAATACAAAGATGTATAAGTTAATACTCAAGAATATAAGCTTCTTGAAAATAGTCGCTATGTATTTATCTTTGTATCTCTGACAGCACCATGTCCATGGTAAAGTTACTCAAATGTTTGCTCAACTGAACTGCAGTTGAGTGGTAATTTTTCAAGTCATGGCTTAGACACTCCGTAAGCAAGGGCAAAATAATCTCTGCCTGTTTCCTCACTTTTACAAACTGAATTAATAATGGTGTCTACCTCGTGGGATTATTGTGAGGCTCAAATGAAATAATACATGTAACATTCTTAGAACAATGCCAAGCACATTAAAAGGTGTTAAAGAAATGTTAACTACTAAAAGTAAAATTTCTAAGAAGGAAATACATCACTTTCCTTCCTTAGTACCAAAACCCTGGGTATACGTTTTTTTATATAAGAATCATACAATCCGTCAGGGTAAAGCGTTGGCTAAAAAAAAAAGAAATTGGCTGGGCACAGTGGCTCATGCCTGTAATCCCAGCACTTTGGGAGGCTGAGGCGGGTGGATCACCTGAGGTCAGGAGTTCGAGACCAGCCTGACCAACATGGTGAAACCCCATCTCTACTAAATAAAAAAACTTAGCTGGGCATGGTGGTGGGCACCTGTATAATCCCAGCTACTTGGGGGCGGAAGCAAGAGAATCGCTTGAACTCAGGAGGCACAGGTTGCAGTGAGCCAAGACTGCGCCACAGCACTCCAGCCTGGGTGACAAAGTGAGACTCTGCTTCAAAAAAAAAAAAAAAATTATATAAGCCACGACAGGATTATGAAAAAAATTAGAGGCAGGGCACTGTGGCTCGTGCCTGTAATCCTAGCATTTTGGGAGGCCAAGGTGGGCAGACTGCTTGAGTCCAGGAGTTTGAGACCAGCCTGGGCAACACAGCGAGACCCCGTCTTTATTTATAAAAAGTTAGAAAAATTGATGTACATGTAAGTATATGGGATAACATACCAAATGAAGGGGAGTAATGGAGTATGTTAATAAGCTAATGTTAATTGATCTAGTAACCTACATTCCTCAAAGCTATTTTCATTTTTTTCAAGTCCTACTACAACAAGTAGATATATGCTCTTAGATTATATTCCATGATTATCATAACACAAGCAACTGGACTCCAGTAAGAAATTGTGTTCTTCCTATTTGCATAAAGTTTGGTGAAAAAAATCTTTTTCTTTCAATGCTTAATCTACTTAGCCAAAGTCATGAGATGGAATGTGACAATCTAATGAGGCCTCTTTTTTCTTTTTTTTTTTTTGAGACGGAGTCTCGCTCTGTCGCCCAGGCTGGAGTGCAGTGGCGCCATCTCGGCTCGCTGCAAGCTCCGCCTCCAGGGTTCATGCCATTCTCCTGCCTCAGCCTCCCGAGTAGCTGGGACTATAGGTGCCCGCCACTACGCCTGGCTAACTTTTTGTATTTTTAGTAGAGACGGGGTTTCACCATGTTAGCCAGGATGGTCTCGATCTCCTGACCTCGTGATCCACCCACCTCTGCCTCCCAAAGTGCTGGGATTACAGGCGTGAGCCACCGTGCCTGGCCTGAGGCTTCTTTTAAATGTGTTGGTACTGCCACTGTTTATTCTATGATTATTTTACTGTTCATGTAGTTAGTCATTTAAAATAAAAAATTAACCTATCACACCTGATATCACATATTTTAAATAAATTTATACGCTCACTTTATAGAAAATGAGATGCATGCAAAATGCTTTATATAGGGTCTGATACACAGTGAGGTTTCAATAAATATAGCCATCAGTAGACTTATTCATCTGATACTACAATAAGTTCAACATGCTACACTCTCTGGGCTCTCCTCTTACCTCTGACCACTCTTTTTTTATTATTATTATACTTTAAGTTCTAGGGTACATGTGCACAACGTGCAGGTTTGTTACATATGTATACATATGCCATGTTGGTATGCTGCACCCATTAACTCGTCATTTATGTTAGGTATATCTCCTAATGCTATCCCTCCCCCTTCCCCCCACCCCATGACAGACCCCAGTGTGTGATGTTCTCCACCCTGTGTCCAAGTGTTTTCATTGTTCCAATTCCCACCTATGAGTGAGAGCACGCGATCTTTGGTTTTCTGTCCTTGCGACAGTTTGCTCAGAATGATGGTTTCCAGCTTCATCCATGTCCCTACAAAGGACATGAACTCATCCTTTTTTATGGCTGCATAGTATTCCATGGTGTATATGTGCCACATTTTCTTAATCCAGTCTATCATTGATGGACATGTGGGTTGGTTCCAAGTCTTTGCTATTATGAATAGTGCCACAATAAACATACGTGTGCATGTCTCTTTATAGCAGCATGATTTATAATCCTTTGGATATACACCAGTAATGGGATGGCTGGGTCAAATGGTATTTCTAGTTCTAGATCCCTGAGGAATCGCCACAGTTTTCCACAATGGTTGAACTAGTTTACAGTCCCACCAACAGTGTAAAAGTGTTCCTATTTCTCCACATCCTCTCCAGCACCTGTTGTTTCCTGACTTTTTAATGATCGCCATTCTAACTGGTGTGGGATGGTATCTCATTGTGGTTTTGATTTGCATTTCTCTGATGGCCAGCGATGATGAGCATTTTTTCTTGTGTCTGTTGGCTGCATAAATGTCTTCTTCTGAGAAGTGTCTGTTCATATCCTTTGCCCACTTTTTGATGGGTTTTTTTCTTGTAAATTTGTTTAAGGTCTTTGCAGATTCTAGATATTAGCCCTTTGTCAGATGGGTAGATTGCAAAAATTCTCTCCCATTCTGTAGGTTGCCTGTTCAGTCTGATGGTAGTTTCTTTTGCTGTGCAGAAGCTCTTTAGTTTAATTAGAGATCCCATTTCTCAATTTTGGCTTTTGTTGCCAATTTCCTTCCTTAGTTTCAATTCCTTGTCCCCATCCCTACCTCCTCTCTCTTCTGTTTAGGTTTCTTTTCTACAGAAAACATATCCCTAGAAATTGTGACTCCTCTTCATGAACTATCTTACTTTCTTAGACCTTCCTTTCAAACACTAAACAAAGATAAATACATTTTATTATCATAGTTAATATTAAAGAATCAAAATTATAACTCAAGCAGTCCCAAGACATATCCAGAAAATGGTTCAGATCGAAGAAATGTCATCTGGACCTTGGACTTGGTATTGCTAGAGGATATGAATTTATGATTCAAAAATAATGAGACAGAAATTAAGAAAATAAAAACTTAATGACAAATGGTAAAAACAAAAAAAAATCCCTAATGACAATTTCGGTTTTTAAAAATTATAGCATTTTCATTCTCAATAAGATATACAGGTAAGCCTCCTAAGAAGTTAAATCCTATGAAGGCCATATCATACTGGCACTTATTAATTGACTCTGTACCTATCAAGGGTAAGGACTTTTCACATTTTTTAAAAAAGTAAAATGGAGGTCTGACACAAATACTGAAAAGTAGCATATATCTTTAGGGCACATTTACAAAACATAAATAACTCTAAGTAGACATTTGAAGTAATTTTTTCTACTTAAGCTCACCTCCTATAATACAGCATTTAGGAAGAGGAACTTAACCTAATGGTAAGCTAGAATACAGAGTAACCCCAAGAGAAGCATGCCTTCTTGGGAACGCTATTGAAGGAAGGTGCTGACTATACCAGTATGAATGTGAACAATTCCAAATATATATACTAAATATTCACTTTCTTTTATTTTTTCTTTGACTGACACTAAATATTGAAACAAAAATGGCTTAGCAACTATAATGCCTAAAAGGGAACTATGATGTAGTATGTATATGTGCATGTGTATACATATCCTAAATATACATATATACAATACTCTTCGTTTATCTGCAGTTTCACTTTCTGCAATTACAGTTACCCACTATCGAATATTGTCTGAACATAGATAAGTATAGTACAATACAATATTTTGAGAGCGAGAGACCGCATTCATATAACTTTTACTACAGTATTTGTTGTTGTTAATCTCTGACTGTGCCTAAGTTCTAAGTTAAACTTTATCACAGGTATGCATGTGTAGGAAAAAACATAGTACAGGCATGTGTTGCCTAATGACGGGGATACATTCTGAGAAATGTGTCATTTGGCCATTTCATTATTGTGCAAATATTATACAGTGTACCTACACAAACCTAGATGGTATAAGCTAACATATATTCCATTTAGGCTATATGGTATAGCCTATTGCTCCTAGGCAACAAACCTGTATAGCATGTTACTTTACTCAATACTGCAGGCAATTGTAACACAATGGGAAGTATTTGTGTCTCTAAACATAAAAAAGTTCAGTAAAAATATAGCATAAAAGATTAAAAAATGAATATCTGTATGGGGAAGTTATCATGAATAGAGCTTGCAGGCCTGGAAGTTGCTCCAGGTGAAACTGTGAGTGAATGTGAAGGCCTCAGACATTACTGTACACTGCTGTAGACTTTATAAACACTATACACAGGCTACACTAAATTTATTTTTAAAATATTTTTTGTTCTGCAATAATTAACCTTAGCTTACTGTAACTTTTTTACTTTATAAACTTTTAAGTTTTAACTTTTTAACTATTTTCTAATAACATTTAGCTTAAAACACAAATACATTGTACAGCTGTATGAAAAATACTTTATATTCTTAATTTTATAAACTTTTTCTACTTCTAAAATTAAAAAAAAATTGTTAAAAACTAAGACCCAAACATACATATTAGCCTAGGCCTACACAGGGTCAGGATCATCAATATCACTGTCTTCCACCTCCACACTTTGTCCCATGGAAAGTCTTCAGGGGCAATGACAGGCAGGGAGCTGGCATCTCCTAAGGTAACAACGTCTTCTTCTGGAATGGCTCCTGAAGGATCTGCCTGAGGCTGTTTTACAGCTTGCCTTTTTTTTTTTTTTTTTTTTTTTAAAGACGGAGTCTCGCTCTGTTGCCCAAGCTGGAGTGCACTGGTGCAATCTCGGCTCACTGCAAGCTCTGCCTCCCAGGTTCATGCCATTCTCCTGCCTCAGCCTCCCAAGTAGCTGGGACTATAGGCGCCCGCCACCACGCCCGGCTAATTTTTTGTATTTTTTTTTTAGTAGACACAGGGTTTCACCATGTTAGCCAGGATGGTCTCGATCTCCTGACCTCGTGATCCACCTGCCTCGGCCTCCCAAAGTGCTGGGATTCAGCTTTTTTTTTTAAACAAGTAGGGGTACATTCTAAAATAATGATAAAAAATCTAGTACAGTAAATACATAAGCCAGTAACACAGTTGTTATCAAGTATTATGTACTGTACATAACTATATATGCTCTACTTTTATACAACAGGCAGTACAGTAGGTCTGTTGACACCAGCATCACCATAAACACGTGAGTAACGTGTTGCGCTATGACATTAGGACGGCCATGATCTCAGTAGGTGACAGAATTTTTTTAGCTCCATTATAATCTTATGGGACCATCATCACATGAGGTCCTTCTTTGACTGGAAAGTTACATGGCACATGACTGTATATATGGGGTTCAGAAATATCCATGGTTTCAGGCACCCACTGGGGGTTTTGGAACATATTGCCTTTGAATAAACGGGACTACTACTACTACTACTACTTACTACTAGTACTACACACACACACACACACACACACACACACAGAGAGAGAGAGAGAGAAGCCTTTTAACCTTCATTCCAGGTTGAATTCCCAGCCTCCCAATGCTTATTACCAATAAAAAGAAGGGAACACCTGCCCCTACATTTGCTGCTGACACAGAGAGACCAGCCTGAAGCAGCCCTCATCTTTTTCCCAGGGACCAATTATCCCTTTCCTAACACCAGCCAAGTTTTGCATTTATACTGGGATTTACAGACCCTGCCCTTTTCTAAATAAAAATTCTTCTCTAAACTCTTAGCAACCAAATTTGGGTCAGAACACTAAGATGGAAGCCAAAATAGTTAAAGAAAATAAAAGTAAAGCCAAAAAAAAAACATTTAATTGTAGATTTTTTAAAAGTCAAGTTACCTAAAAAACTGTATATACAATATTGACTCTCATTTTAGATTGGGGTTGGGAATTTAGAATATATTCAAAGAAAGAAAATCTATTTGAAAAAGAAAGGAAGCTATTTATCTCTCTACTTCAGAAGCATATAACTGACACAGTTAAACAATTTAGGAATCCTGTGAAAAACACACTTAAAGAAGTGATATGTACAGAAAGAGAATTTTGGCAATGGTTATTAAGTGACAGATACGGGGTTTCGAGGGATTAGTATGCTCTACATGGAATCCCCATACAAGTGTCTTCCAAGGTAGGGGAAATAAATAGCAGGCTGAACTTGGTAGGAGTTCTAAAACTGGCTAGATAATGAATATGGATCACTAGCTTTTACAAGGGCAATGGCAACTTAAAATGTTAGAAAGCCTAATATATTACATTTTCCAGTATATTTTATTTTCTGGACAAATTAGTTCCATTCATACATCTTCAGGCTCACTGATGCAAACACTTACCAGGGTACTTTTAAGTACAGGTTGAATATCCCTTATCTGAAATGCTTGAGACCAGAAGGATTTCAGACTTCAGATTTTGGAATATTTTCATGCTATTTACTGACTCAGCATCCTTAACCTGAAAATCCGAAATCTGAAATGTTCTAGTATTTCCTTTGAGTGTCATGTTGCTCAAAAAGTTTAGGATTTTGGAGCATTTTGAATTTCAAAATTTCAGATTAGGAATGTTCAACCTGTACCGTAATATTTATTCTCTCTCGACCTGCCTGAGTTAACAAGCTATGTAGGAGAAAAAGGAAAGGCAGAGAACAAAGGTCCAGGAAACTCTGGTTCCAGTCCTGCCTCTGTCATTAAATAACTGATCTCAGCCATGTCACTTCACTGATGGAGTGATATTTCAATATTTCTAAAATTAAGTCGTTCTGGCTGTAAAATGTTAAGATGTTTGTAGTTCTCATTATTACTTTTTAAGAATTTATTTTTATCAAAGTAATATATAAACAAGACTACTTTCTAGAGGTCAGTCTCTAAGATAAAAAGGTCAGTATATTTTCCCACTTCACCTATTGGGATAATACACAAGGTGAAAAATCACATCACATCTCTTTGTACATGGGAAAAAAACACTAGTGACAGCATATTTCCCTTTCATTTGGTATCCAATTAATCAGAATGCCTATTAAGCAAATTTGTGCAAATCCTTCACACAGTTATTTCTTAAATCCAAGTAGTACTGGTTCTAGACTATGCTCCTTTCTATTAGTTTCATTTCCAAGTTTATGATGACGAAAAAATGCCTTCTGAGTTAACATATGTGTTATCATATTATGAAAAAAGATAATGACTTTTTCACTATTAGCTATCAGATCTAAGCAAGTTACTCTTTGCTTCAGTATCTGAATCTGTAAAATAAGAACAATAATCTCTCAGGATTGCCTAAAAGATTAAACAAAATATATGAAAGCATTATACCCAACACAGAAAACTACTCTCAATAAGCATTTGCATGTTTTAAAGGTATGTATAAAAATGATTTATATGAGTTGCTTAAACACTTCATTCTTCCTTAACAGCATATTCACTCCAAGAGATGCAGATGAGAAACAATGCAATATAGAATGTTTAAATCAAGCAACTGTTAAAATTTTAAAAATTCATCTCAATAAACATATATTTATCATTTACTACGTGCCAGGTACTATAATGCTAGGGTATAAGAATTCAAAGGTGAGGCAATGGACTGACCCTCAAAAAGCTCACAGTCTAGAAGAGATAAATACAAATTATAACGTAATTGAAAAACATAATAAAAATATGTACAAAGAGCAGAAGTAGCAAGATGAAGCAAGAAATTAATTTTGCGTGAAGAAAGTAAGGAGGAAGTAGCTGAAGTAGCATGGTAAAGAAGAAAGAGGAGTCTAGAGGCAAAGACTTGGGTCTAAAGCCCAGCTCAGTCATATACTAGCTATAAGATTTGGGACAATTTAATTTACCTCTCTGAGTTTCCTTTCAAATGTACTTTGAAGAGTTATTCTGAAGATTAGAAATAATATATGTAAAGTGCCTAACACACAGCGGCCATTCAACAAATGACAGATGTTTCAGAAGTTGTGTTTACTCGCCTCTTTTGAGCAGACAAAGTTGTAAATGGCACTGTAGGCAGCATCTGTTAACTAATGATTAAGATACACACCAAATCACTAAGGTCACTGGCATGGAGAAGGCCACAATGAATCCCATCAGAATATTATCACTTATAGACTGCCACTGTTGAGAAGAGATGTGGTTCCTAACGTGGTACACTCTACCACTAGTGAAACATATTTCTAATCTGTTTCTTTCTGCATTTTTATCCTGACGCCTAGAATTTCACATATTCAGACAGTAGTTATTTCCTAGTAGAGGTTCCCATGGTCCTCAGTCCCGCCTCAGTCCTAGTTTGGGATGTTCGGCATATCCTTTATGAAATGGCAAGGTCCAATGAGCAACTGGCAAGTATTAAGATCATATTGAAAGACATATTGGAGCTAACCCTGGATGAATAACTACTATTATCAGCTTAATGGTTGACTTGCAGAACTGGAGGCAATTATAATCATTAGAATCTTACTTATTTAAAAATATTGTTGAAGCTGGCCAGGAGTTAAGTTACATTTACATTTACTCTATGGCTCCCAAAGCTAACTTTCTCTAAAAACCCTTTGATGAGCTAATCCAGTGATTAATATCTACAGGCATACCTTGTTTTATTGTACTTCACTTTATTTTGGCTTTTACAAATGGTAAGTTTGAGGCAACTCTGTGTCAAGCAAGTCTATCAGTACCATTTTTCCAACAGCATGGGCTCACTTTGTGTCACATTTTGGTAATTCTAACAATATTTCAAATTTTATTATCTTATTATTATTTTATTATTGTATTTTATTATTATAGTGATCTGTGATAAGTGATCTCTGATGTTACTATTTTACTCGATAATTTACTCGATAAATCTTGTGTGTTCTCACTGCTCCACCAACCAGCCATTCCTCAGTCTCTCTCCCTCTCCTCGGGTTTCCCTATTCCCTGAGATACAACAATATTGAAATCAGGCCAACTAATAATCCTACATTGGCCTCTGAGTGTTCAAGTGAAAAAAAGAGTCAGATATCTCACTTTAAATCAAGTGCTAGAGATGATAAAGCTTAATGAGGAAGGCACGTTCAAAGATGAGTTAGGCTGAAAGCTAGGCCTCTCGTACCAAACAGCCAAGTTGCAAATGCAAAGAAAAATTCTTAAAGGAAATTAAAAGTGTTACACTAGTGAACACACAAATCATAAGAAAGCAAAACAGACTGCTCTCTGATATGAAGAAAGTTTGAGTGGTCTAAATAGAAGATGAAACCAGCTACAACACTCCCCTAAGCCAAAGCCTAACCCAGAGAAAGACCCCAACTCTCTTCAATTCCATGCAGGCTGGGATGTGAGAAAGCTGCAAAAGAAAGTTTGATACTAGCAGATGTCAGTTCTTTAGGTTTAACAAAAGACACCTCTATAACATAAAAGTGCAAGGTGAAGCAGCAAATGCTGATGTAGAAGCACAAATTATCCAGAAGATCTAGCTAACTGATGAAGGTGGCTACCCCAAACAACAGATATTCCATGTAGATTAAACAGCCTTATATCAGAAGAAGATGCCATTTAGGACTTGCACAGCTAGAGAGAAGTCAATCCCTGACTTCCAAGCTTCAAAGGACAGGCTGACTCTTCTTAGGAGCTAATGCAGCTGGTGACTTTATATTAAAGCCAATGCTCATTTACCATTCTGGCGCCCTTGAGAATTATGCTAAATCTACCCTGGCTGTGCTCTATAAATGAAACAAAAAAGCCTGGATGACAGTACATCAGTTTACAGCACGGCCTACTGAATATGTGAAGCCCACTGTTGAGAACTGCTCAGAAAAAAAAAAGATTCCTTTCATTTTAATGAGTATTTTCTTCAATGACAATGTACCTGGTCAACCAAGAGCTGTGATGGAGATGTCCAAGTAGATCAATGTTGTTTTCATGACTGCTAACACAACATCCATTCTGCAGACCATGGATCAAAGAGTAATTTTGACTTTCTAGTCTTATTATTTAAGAAATACACTGTGTAAGAAGGCTAAAACTGCCAGAGATAGTGATTCCTCTGATGGACCTGGGCAAAGGAAATTGAAAACCTTCTGGAAAGGAGTCACCATTCCAGATGCCCTTAAGAACAATCGTGACTCATGAGAAGAGGTCCAAATATCAACTTTCATAGGAGTTGGAAAGCAATTGACTCCATTCCTCATGGATGACTTTGAGGGGATCAACACTTTAGTGGAGGAAGTAACCATAGGTGTGGTCGAAATAGCAAGAGAACTAGAATTAGAAGTGGAGCCTGAAGATGTGACTGAATTGTTGCAATCTCATGATAAAGTTTGAATGGATGAGGAGTTGCTTCTTATGGATGAGCAAAGAAAGTGGTTTCTTGAGATGCAATCTACTCCTGGTGAAGATCATGTGAACACCGTGGAAATGACAACAAAGGATTTAGACTATTAGATAAACTCGGTTGATAAAGCCGCAGCAGGGTTTGAAAGGACTGACTCCAATTTTGAAAGTTCTACTGTGGATAAAATGCTACCCAACAGCATCCCATGCTACAGAGAAATCTTTCATGAAAGGAAGAGTCTATTGCTCTTCCTTAGTGGCAAACTTCATTGCTGTTTTAAGAAAACTGCCATCATCCCAATCTCCAGCAATCATCACCTTGATCAGTCAGCAGTCATCAACACAAAGACAAGACCCTCTACCAGAAAAAAGATAACGTCCTTGCTGAAGGCTCAGATGATCGTTAGCAATTTTTCAGCAATAAAGTATTTTTAAATTAACGTCTGTACTTTTTTTTCAGACATAATGCTATTTCACATTTAAAGACTACAGGTAAAATGTAACTTTTACATGCACTAGGAAAACAAAAAATTCATTTGGCTCACTTTATTGCAATATTTGCTTTATTGTGGTGTTCTGGAACCAAACCTGCAATCTTTCCAAGGTATGCCTGCACAAATATATGTTAAGTCCCTACTTTTCATTTCACTTAAACAAAAACTGGTACAGTTCAAATACCAAACAGTGGATAAATGCAAGCAAAATCATAAGTAAGATAAAGCAGTCTACCTCTAAATTCAACTGAATCATGAGATGGTCTTTATGTCCATTTAGTTTTCCAGAATTATAACAATATATTCCTTACCGGCAATCATCATGTAAAGTCAGTCTGTTTCAAGTTAAATAACCACAGCTTAAAAGTGAGGATAGCATGAAGCAATCCAGAATCTACTTTAACTGTATAGTTTCCATTCGAAGAAACCAGTGTCCTTAAAGTTGTCTTTTGTGGTATATAATTCCATAAAATTTTCTTCTATGAATGTTTGTATTCTATACCATGCCAGACTTTATATATATGTTATATATATGAACCCAGGTTATATTTGTAAAATACTCACAACACTTTAACCAGTTTGACAAAATGCATTTTGAAATACTAATGTTCTACTGAAATTAACTGCCTTACACATTTTCAAGAATTAAATTCTGAGTATTTTTTTAAGATTTTTTTCCTCTGAAAAGCAGGCACTGAGGAGTCACCAAATCGCAACTGAATCTCTTTCTCGTAAATTCTACTTCAGAGAATAATTTTTAAATTCGGAACTCAAAGTATAATGTAAGCATTTCCACATAACAAAACCAGAAGTTTCTTCACAAAGCAAATCTACAGACTGAATAAAAATATTGTGTGTTTTATCACTCACTTTTACAAATAGAAATTGATGTTATAAGGCCAATTACTGACAGCCTTAATAAATGAAGGGAAATACACAAAATTATCAAATGTCTCAGAAGCAGCAGCTGGAGGCCTGAGGGAAAGAGACAGACAGACAAAAGGAAATGGGAGGGGAAGGAGATATATGAAGCTAACACGCTTAGACCGCACTAGACCTTAGCTCAGCCCCTGACCCACTATAATTTACTCAGTTATCTACATCGCCCAAAAAATTAGCGGTTGAAAAAGTAAATCGACCATTGTGGGCAATGATTTTAGGTTCTACATTTGGCTTGAGATTTGCCAGAAAGAAAAAGAACTAAATCAGAAAAAGATGTAAATAGCAAGAAGCGATGTGTGTAGAAGGGGGAGGGGAGGAGGGTAATGGAATAAAAGCGAAATGCGCTCAAGTCTCAGCACTAAAGCTACTCCGCGCGTACTACAGAGGCCGGGCCGCCACCGGGAGCTCTCCCCGTGCGGGGCAGGAGCGGGGGTCGCTGATGCTCCCCTGGCGACTCAGGGAAGGGGGTGGCGGGAGCCGGCGCCCCCGGGACACGCGCAGAGTGGCTCCGATTAACACCTTCCTCGCCGGGACCTGGAGCTCCGAGCGGGGCGCGCACGGGGGTGGGGCGGCGAGGAGCGTGTCCCCTCCCGAGGAAGGAGAAGACAGGAGAGGGGCGGACCGCATCCCCGTCCCCAGCCCAGGCGCGTCAATTACCCGTGAGGTTCCTCAGCACCGTCCCGTGGGCCCAGAGGCTCAGGACCTGCTGCACCGACAGGTTGATCATGGAGTGGTCGCCCCCCTCCGCCTTCATCTTCCCCGAGGGGCGCCCGCCGCCCTCTCCTCGGGTGCCGGGCGGCGGCGGCGGCTGCGAGGCTCGGGGGGCGGCGGCGGGTGCGCGGCTCCTCCAGGCCGCCGCCGCTGGTGGAGGCTGCGGGACGCCGGGCCGGGCGCTGCTGCTGCTGCAGCCGGAGGGCCTCCGTGGGGGGGCCGCTCAGCGTGTCTCCCAGGCAGCCCCCTCCCCGCCGGGGAGACATTGAGGACGGCGGACGGAGGAAGGAGGGGAGGGGGCCGGGCGCCGTCCTCGCGCGGCCCCCGAGCGAGGACTCGGGGCGGAGGAGGCCGCCGCCGCTCCCTCTCAGGGGCAGCGCCGCGCCGCGGGGACTGGACACGCGAGGAGGCCGAGGTCACGCCAGGAGGCCGGTGCTGATGGGCAGCCGGCAGGTGCAGCCCCCGACAGGGCCCAGCTCATCGCCGCCGGAGGACGGAGACGCGGGACCAGCCAGAGGCTGCGGCGGCACCTGCCGCCCGCCTGCCCGCCCTCGGGTCGCCGACACTCGAGGAACCGCCCCCTCCACCCGCAGCCGCCGGCGGGCCACTCGTGCACGCGCACGCGCGCGCCTCTCAGCGCCGGCCCCTCCTCCCCTGCGCTCCCCGGAGCCGCTGCGCATGCTCACTCCCCCGCTCCCCGCGACCCGCCGCCCTCCAACAGCCGGTCGGCCCCAAAGCCCTCCTTCTCGCTCTCCCCTCGCGCTGCAGCGCGCGTGGCTGACGGCGCCGAGCGACGGCCCGCAGTGGGGCGGAGGGAAGCGCGGTCTACGTCACTGGCGCCACCGCCGGGCCTTACTGCTGATTGGGCGCTCCAAGGGAACCGCCTCCACGCCCCCCACCCCCGGACCCCGGGCGCGCGCCCTGAGAGACCGGGAGACCTGGATCCCTCGCCCTGGCCCGGCTGGGTGCGCGCGGTGCGGGCGGCGTGGGCGGTGCGGGCATTTCGGGGGCCCGCGCTGCAGGGGCAGCCCTGACCCAAGGTGGGGCTGCTGAACTCGGTGAGGTGGATACTGTGACAGTTCAGATTTTTGCCTTAAAATGTAATGCTTTTTGATAAAGATGCTTATGTATAACTTTTTTAAAAAGGTGTCACTATCTCAGCATTTAGATATATTAATTTGCGGGGTTTTTTTTCTGAGCCTGAATCGAATGACCTGGATAGGTCACTTACTTGCAGAATGCATGTTAAAACCCCTAAAACACAAACAGACCTGCGTTATCATTCTGCTAATCCCTCTTCCCGCAGCAAGAACTTGGGCCTCCCGGGGTTCCAGGACCTGCCTGACATTACCTGTTTACTCCAGGCTCGGCAGGTGTCCTAATCCTCAAGGCCATCGCCGGCTCTAGCCCCCCTTTTTTTGATGGTAGTATTCTTTTATCTAAGTTGCGTCTGTTATTTTTTTCCCTCGAACTTAAACTAGATCTCTCTCCCCACGCTTTGCTGTCTGTCTTCATGTCCAGCGTTAGCCAGAGGAGCATCTAAAATCCAACTACAAGTTAAACTCCTCGAAATTGGAAACCTTCTAACTTTAAAAAATAAAAATTTAAGTTTTAGCAGTAACATAAATATGCAGTAGCCAGCCCCTCCCCCCACCTTTTTTCAACCCCTCTGCCATCTGGATAAAGAAAAATTTACAAAGAGAAGTGAAGAAATACCTGCTGTAGCTAAATCATGAAGTATATTTGACAAAGCACTGAAGGGTCAAATTACCTGTCAAATGGTGCTCTTGGTGACCACTTTAAAATAATATTTACATACACATTTATTTCTTTGTTTATTTGTATTTTCTTTTTGATGTCACAACATAAGAGAAATTTTTGCACCATTAATAGGAATTGAGCCAAAACTCTTAATGTAGAGTTTATCTTCCTCCTAGAATTTAGACTTAATTAGATCTATTAACAAGATTACAGAATATCAAACCTAAAAGAGCGCTTTAACATTTTTCTAATTTTATTTTACAGATAGGGAAACAGATTCTGTGAATTAAGTGACTTGACAGAGATGACAGCACTTCACAGCTCAGTTTCTGAATTCCTGGTCTATTATTCTTTCTAGCAACCACATTATCTTTCTTAACCCACTGTTAACTCCCTCACTTTAAGATTCTTGATGGGGAAGTGCAGGTTACCTAATGATATTCTTAAGGGACTTGGCATTACATAATTAGTGATGTTAGGGAATGTGACCACATTCAGTGAAGGGTTCACAGCAAACTCCCTGAGCAGGGGCTCATTAAACTCTCATATCAGAAACCTTTAGTTAGTTTACGTTCTTAGGATTGCACACTATTATTTAAAACACAGTAGCACGCAGTGAAAATATTCAGAACCTGGGACAGTGCCTGGCACCTGCACCACAAATATTTGTTGAATGAATCACTGAATGATCTTCATAGAAAAGTCAGCATTGTTCTTGTTCTGAATAAATATTTTTTACAGAATCCAAGTGTTCATGTCAGGAAATGAGAAAGACACAGCAATGAAGTCTCAAGTCAGTAATGTTATTTGCTGCCCAACAACTTCACCCCTGCTGTTCAGTTCAATTTAATTGGCGTCTATATTTATTTGGCATCTACTATCTGTAATGTTCTGTGCAAGGTGTTATCTGTAACATTTGAAGATAAGATCTCTACTCTCTAGGCTACTTAGGTTTTCCTTGATAAAAGTAATGATCTTGACTGTGTTGGAAGCTTATATCCTTAAGAGAATTAGACATTTTCCCAACAGCCAGAGTTATGAAACCCAAAACTGAGTTAATACAAATGAAAGTTTTGGAATTTCTTTCCTACAGATTTTTTATTTTGAATTAATACACCAATTCAGGAAGAGTTTAGTCACGTTCCTGTCAGAAATCAGGGACCACCCCAAGTGAATCCAAAAATTTCCTTTCAACTCTGTGCCCTTCAGCATGAAACAATTCACAAACGTAATTCATAAACCAAAATTCCTGGTTTATTTCTCTCATGTAAGTGAGGGAACACCCATTAGCCTTAGTCATTTTTAAAACTGTCCAGAGACAACCTAGAGGAAAGCTTTTTAAAATCAATTAAAATATAAAATGATATTGATCTTTTGAGAAAAACATTTTCAGGTATCTTTTCAGAAGCACCCCACTCTACTGGTATCAACTTAACGTATTAGTCCATTTTCACGCTGCAGATAAAGACATACCCAAAACTGGGCAATTTATAAAGGAAGAGGTTTAATTGGACTTACAGTTCCATGTGACTGGGGAAGCCTCACAATCATGGTGGAAGGCAAGGAGGAGCAAGTCCCGTCTTACATGGGTGGCAGCAGGCAACGAGAGAATGAGGAAGACGCAAAAGTGGAGACCCTTGATAAAACCATACAGAGCCAAATTATATCATTCCTCCCCTGGTCCCTGCCAACTCTCATGTCCTCACATTTCAAAATCAATCATGCCTTCCCAACAGTTCCCCAAGGTCTTAACTCATTTCAGCATCAACTCAATAGTCCACAGTCCAAAGTCTCATCTGAAACAAGGCTAGTCCCTTCCGCCTATAAGCCTGTAAAATCAAAAGCAAGTTAGTTACTTCCTAGATACAATGGGGGTACACGCATTGGATAAATACAGCCATTCCGAATGGGAGACATTGGCCACAACAAAGGAGCTACAGGCCCCATGCAAGTCCAAAATCTAGACTGATTCAGCTTGATTCAGCTCAGTCCAGCTCCACAGGTCTTCTCATTTCATACCTGAGGCTGAGGAAGATGTCACGCTCTGAGTACATGCCATTCTCATGGTATAGGGCTGGAACCAGGGCTACAATGGGACACTGGCCTTGCCTGCAAAGCCTTGCCTGCAAGTCTTGACAACAGACTCTGAAACACTCTGTTATCAAGATAAATAATATACTAATATAATATTTTTAAAAATAAAAATTCATGCAAAAATCCATGATTAATGAAATACCAAAATTTTAAATAAACACAGAATCTCACCCTGCACTTGCAAGACCTTGTCTCACCCACCTCATCCTTATCCCAGCTCTGGCATGGACAAGAGAGGCAGGGCTAAACTACACAGGTGCATTTAAAGTTCATGCTCAGATATGGGGTCCATGTCACATGCATGTCACATATCCACATTCCCTTGTTTGAAGCAGATTGCATAGTTAAGCCCCTAAGTGAATGGGATAAAAAAGTATATTCTGCCTACAGAGAAGGATGGAAAGAATGAATGGGAGGGGGCAACAAATGGTAATGAACAAATAATGCAGTCTTAACACAGGCTGAGTGAGGTTAAGTCTTCTACAAATAATATATTTCAGCCTATATTTCTGTGTACTTTTTGTAGTTTGCGCTTTACGAATTTTGATTCTATGTGTTTTAGTGAACACATATGTATGTAAGATTTGTGATTTTGCTTTCTTAAATTAAAAATATATTAATTTCCATTATAAAATGCTTTTAAAATTTATGTGAATCTTGTCTGATGTTAAGGTCTTAAGTCCTGCTTTCTGTTTGCATTTGCCTGATATGTATTTTTCCATTCTTTTTCAACTTTGAATAATTTTGTTTTAGGAGTTTGACATCGTATTCCAATATGAAATTTCTAATTTAATAGAAGAACTTCTAGATAATTTCTAGTCGTTGATATAATAAATATGTGGTATTACTTGCATCATAGTTATATTATTATTTCTATTTTTGTTGCTTCTTTTAAAAAAGTATTTCATGGGTATGGTTTGTGTTTCCTTTGCTTTGTTTATGTTCCTTATAATTTGAAAGGATTGGTTTTGTTTTTGTATTTTATAGTAATCTCTGTGACCATAACTGATATACACTTCATCCTCTGTTTAGAATGTATCTAGTGACCATCCACTCTCAGCAATCCTAAAATCATATAACTCCACTTCCTTATAACCTCCTTTTCCTCCCCTTCTCCATCAGATTTAAGAGTATATATTTTTTTCTATTTCTTACTTCTACAGCTAAACTACCTAAGTTTTAATCCTGATTTTATTGCTTTACCAGGAGTGAACATTCAACATTCAGTGAGTTACTTAACCTCTGTAACTTTCAGTTTTCTCCTCTGTAAAATTTGAACTATAATATTCTATTATATGTATAATATATCTGTTATTCATTATAGATAGTATATATTTAATTATAATATTTCCTTGAGATATTCTGAGGATCAAAGTACTTAGTAATTAAGTGCTTAGAGTGGAGTCTGGAGCAGTAAATACTCAATGAATACTAGTTTTTATTACTGTAATATTTAAATATTAATAGATTTTTTAGAACTGTATGGAAATGGCAATCTTCTAAATAATTATTTATTTTAAAGAACAAGCAGAAAGAAATTGTGAAGGATTTTCTTGATGGGCAAGAATCTACCTCTTTCCCACCTTTTTTTTTTTTTAGTGTGATGAATTCATATGACTCAAAACTCTCATGATATGACGTGCAATCAGTGAAAATTCTCCCCCGACCCCTGGCTCCCAGCCACTTAGATCCATGCTGTCTGGGAGTCACCTGCCCTTCCTGGGCCATAACACTGTTTCCTTTAGTAAAAGTGTGGAAAGTGATGTTTGGGCATGAAGAAATAATTTAATGTAGGGTGGAAACTATAGTATTAAGGAAAGGTAAGTGATAAAATTGAGAATACAGGAGAAATGAAAGTTTAGTGACAAATGCCCATTAAAAATAGCCCTATTCTTCTCCCAAACCTAGACCATTTACTAAACATTGGTAAGAAAATGGGTTTCAGGGGCTCCCAACTGTATGCAGCATTTTAGTTAGGGAAAGAGTATTAGTCAGGATTCTCCCAGAGAAACAGAACTAATAGGTTGCCTATGTATAGAAAGACATTTATTATGAGAAGTTGGCTCACACGATTATGGAGGCTGACAAATCCCAGGATCTGCAGGGTGAGTTGGCAAGCTGGCGATCCAGGAGAGCCAATAGTGTAGTTCCAGTCTGAGACTGCATTGCCTGAGAACTAGGAGAGCAATGTTTCCGTTCAGACACTTAGGCAAGAATTCTGCCTGCCTTGGGGGAGCCTTTTTACTCTATTCAAGTCTTCAGCTGATTGGATGAGGCACCCACATGAGGGAGGGCAGTCTGCTTTATTTCATCCACCAATGTAGATGTTACTCTCACCTAAAAACACTCTCACAGAAACACCCCAAATAATGTTTGACCAAATAACTGGATATTCCATGGCCCAGTCATGTTGACACATAAAATTAACCATAATTCTATTTAACACACAAAATTAACCATCTGAGAAATTCAGGAGATTTGAAGACACCTGGGTTATACAGTATGTTCAACAGAAGGCACGACCCTCCTATTATTGAAAGAAGCTTTGAAATGAGAAGTGGAGTTGTCATGAACAGCTTGAAAACTATCATTTATTTAACACTTTCTATCTTTCACATACCAGTCTGTAAACTGTTAACCCTCACAACACCCTTTTAAGGTTGTGCTGTTATTAGCTTCACTTTTCAAATAAGGAAATTGTGGCTCTGGGCAGCCAGTAACCTGCCAAGGTCACCTAGCCCAATACTGTCTGAATCCAAATCCCCAAAATTTAACCATTACTTCCTCAATTTGCCCCTTGTTTTAATAAGACTTCTGAGGCTCAAAACTTACAGGAACTTTAGATCTGCTTGTTGAATGACTTTTGAGGCATAGATACTCACTGTTCACTAAAATCTCTTCTTCCTGGGCATACAACCTGATACATTTCCCAGCCACCCTTGCAGGGAAGTATGGCCTTGGAACGTGCCCAGATGTGATGTGTGCCACTTCCATGCCTGGCATATCAAAACCTCTTTTAACTGTTGCTCCATACTCTTTTTACTTTTCTGATTCATTGGGATGGTGACACTCCAGTATTTTTGAAAGTCACATGTCAAAGATGTCAAAGCCAGTATCAGCCTGGCTTCTTGAAAGAGTGCATAGAACAGGACAGAGAGCCCCCCAGCTGATCTGGAATCCCCTTTGAACTTCCTTGGTATAGAGTTTATAAAAGAAAATAAAATTTTAGGACCCTCTGAATTTATTATGCCAACAGGGAAGGTAAGCCCTGGAGACTGAGTCACGTCATATGTTTGGAATTCTGCTTCTTACATTATAGCTTAACTGTCTTCCTCACTGTTCTTGTTCTGTAAATGAGTAAGACAGATCAGAGCCCAGATCTTTCCTTCCAATCACTGATCTTTGTTATAGATTAGCTGCCTCCTTTGTCCTGTATCTAACTCAGACTAGATGGTGCTCAGGACCCCATAACAGTTACGTCTTCCATGTGGAATGTTAAATGTACCTTTCTCAAGGGAAAAAGACCACCTTAGCTAATCAGATCATTGTAACGAGGCATTAAAGCTTAGATAAGTCCTACACTTTGGAACACTGGCTTCCATTCTTTGGAATCTGTACTTCCTAGGTGGGCCATCCCCCCATTGCACTTGAACACACTCTCCTTAAACTAGATTTTGACCATTTTGATTATTTTAGGTTAGCAACCTGTTGTAATTTGGGACTTTTCCTTCAGTGGTTGAGCTTCCCTAATTAGTATTCCAATACTGCTCTGACAAGAATGCATTCTTTTGTATTCCAGGTTTCCAGTGATTCTATTTTCTAGAAGTCAACTGGTAAATTCAGCTTACTAATCAAAGCTAGATGATCCAAATTTTCTGTAGACACAAACAATTTGAGTATATCTTGTCTACCCACAAAATCCTGCCACCTTGCAGCAGGCAAAGGCTGTTTCCTAGAGAATTCATCCAGACCACCTTTCTTCACTTATTATGACTTTCTAAGTTTTCATATAACGTACAGAATAAATGTTACCCCATCACTCTTCTCCATATTAAAGTTCTGTCCAATTGGGTACCTAACCCAATCCATCATAAATTGAATTCAACTAGAAATATTAGTTGCATTAAAAAAATTGAAACTCTGAAAGTAAATTTTTCCAATGGTCTTTTTTCTTTCTTTTTTAAAATTATTTTTTAATTTTTTAATTATGGGTACATAATATTACAATTATTTTAAAATTAATTTTTAAGTTTTTAATTATGGGTACGTAATAATTCCATTTATGGTGTACATGTGAGTTTTGATACAGGCATACCATTTATAATGACCAAATCAGGGTAACTGGGATCTCCTTCATCTTAAGAATTCATTATTTCTTTGTGTTAGGAACATTCCAATACCGCTCTTTCAGTTATTTTAAAACATACATTTTTTTAAACTATGGTCACCCTATTGTGCTACAGAATACTAGCTCTTACTCATTTGATCAAACTATAATTTTTGTGCCCATTAACCATTCATTATCTTTTTTTTTTTTTTTGAGACGTAGTTTCACTCTTGTCACCCAGGCTAGAGTGCAGTGGTGTGACCTTGGCTCACTGCAACCTCCGCCTCCCGGGTTCAAGTGATTCTCCTGCCCCAGCCTCCCAAGTAGCTGAGATTACAGGCGTGCACCACCACACCCAGCTAATTTTTGTATTTTTAGTAGAGACGAGGTTTCACCGTGTTGGCCACGCTGGTCTCTAACTCCTGACCTCAAATGATCTGCCCGTCTTGGCCTCCTAAAGTGCCGGAATTACAGGCTTAAGCCACCGGGCCTGGCCTGGTAACCATCATTCTAATCTTTATCTCTGTGCATTTAATTATCTACTTTTTAGCTCCCACATATGAGTGAGAACATATGACATTTGTCTTCTGTGCCTGGCTTATTTCACTTCACGTAATGTCCTCCAGTTCCATCCTAGTTGTTACAAGTGACAAGATTTGATTCTTTTTTATGGCTGAATAATATTACATTGGGTATATGCATCACATTTTCTTTATCCATTCATCCATTGATGGACCCTTAGGTTGATTCCATATCTTGGCCATTATGAATAGTGTTGCAACAAACATGGGAGTGCAGATATCTTCTCAATGTACTAATTTTCATTCCTTTGGAAATACACCAAGCAGTGGGATTGCTGGATCATATGGTAATTCTATTTTTAGTTTTTTGAGGAAACTTAATGCTACTCTCCACAGTGGCTGTACTAATTTACTTTCCCACCAACAGTGTACGAGTGTTCCCCTTTTTCCACATCCTCCCCCATCGTTCATTATTGCCTGTCTTTTGGGTAAAAGCCATTTTAACTGGTGTGAGATGATATCTCATTGTAGTTTTGGTTTGCATGTAACTGATGATTAGTGATGTTGAACATTTTTTCACATACCTGTTGCCCATTTGTATGTCTTCTTTTGAGGAATGTCTATTCAGATCTTCTGCCCATTTTAAAATCAGATTTTTAGACTTGTTTCTTATTGAATTGATTGAGCTCCTTATAAATTGTGCTTATTAATTCCTTGCCAGATGAACAGTTTGCACACATTTCTCCCATTTTGTGGACTGTATCTTAACTTTGTTGATAGTTTCCTTTGCTGTGCAGCTTTTTAGCATGATGGGATTCCAGTTGTCCATTTTTGCTTTGGTTGCCAGTGTTTTTTGAGGTATCACTCAAGAAATCTGTGCCCCGACCAATGTCTTAGAACATTTCCCTGATGTTTTCTTTTAGTAGTTTCATAGTTTGAGGTCTTAGTTAAATTTAAGTCTTCAATCTATTTTGATTTGATTTTTGTATGTGATGAGAGATAAGGGTCTAGTTTCATTCTTTTGCATATGGATATCCAGTTTTCCCAGTGCCATTTATTGAAGAGACTTTCCTTCCCCCAATGTATGTTTTTGGCACCTTTGTCAAAAATGAGTTCACTCTAAATGCAGGGATTGATTTCTGGGTTCTGTATTCTATTCCATTGGTCTATGTGTCAGTATTTATGCCAGTACCAGGCTGTTTGGGTTACAATAGCTTTGTAGTATTAATATAATTTGAAATCAGGTAATGTGATTTCTCCAGTTGTGTTCTTTTTGCTCAGGAGAGCTTTGTCTATTCAAGGTTTTTTGTGGTTCCATATAAATTTTAGGGGTTTTTTTCTATTTCTGTGATGAATATCTAATGTTCATTTTTTATGCCTTCTTAGATAACTTTTTCAAGCTCATATTGTAAATATCTGGGTTAATTGGGAAACTAATGACAATATCTGGCCTATTGTAAAAGTATGAGATTGAACACAAATTTATAATTTTTATCACTTTCATTTCATTATACTAATTATAAGTGTTAAGAAATAGAAGATTTTTTTTCTACCCTCAAAGACCTTAGCATCTATTTAAGGGAGAATAAAACATACATTAGAAACAATAAATAGGTAACAAACTGTTACTGAGAACACATGTATATATATATATATATATATTCTATGTGTTATATAATATTAATAAATATATTTGCATTCTATAATCCATATCACATTATAATTACACATATTATATGCAATATATATAATACATATGTATTATGTTTTATTTGTATAATGTATATAGTCACCCATCACTTAACAATGAGGATTCTTTCTGGGAAATGCATCATTAGTCAATTTTGTCATTGTGTGAACATCATGGAGTGTATTTACACAAATCTAGATAGTATAGCCTACTTCACACCTTTGCTAGATGGTACAGCCTATAGCTCCTAGGCTACAAACCTGTACAGCAGGTTACTGTCCTGAATACCACAGGCAATTGTAACACAATGGGAAGTATTTGTGCATCTAAACACATCTAAATTTAGAAAAGGTACAGTCAAAATATGGCATAAAAGATAAAAATTGGTACAACTCTATAGGACACTTACCATGAATGGAGCTTGTAGGATTGGAAGTTGCTGTGGCTGAGTCAGTGGGTGAGTAGTGAGTGAGTGTGAAGGCCCAGGAACTTACTGTACACTACTGTAAACTCTATAAACACTGCACACTTAGGCTACCTTAAATTTATTTTTAAAATGTTTCTACAATGATAAATTAATCTTAGATTACAGTAACAATTTTACTATATAAACTTTTAAATTTTAAAAGCTTTCTGACTCTTTGTAATAGCAGTTTAAAACACAAACATATTTTACAGCTGTACAAAAATATTTTCATTCTTTCTATCCTTATTCCATAAGCTTTTTTCTGTTTGCAAAACTTTGTCTTTTTTTTTTTTTTTTACCTTTTAGATTCTTTTGTTAAAAACTAAAACACAAACATACGCATTAGCCTAGGCCTAAACAGGGTCAGGCTCGTCAATATCACTGTCTTCCACATCCACATGTTGTGCCATGGACGGTCTTCAGGGGCAGTAACACGCATGGAGCTGTCAAGTCCTATGGTAACAATGCCTTCTTCTGGAATCCCCCCTGAAGGACTTACCTGAGGCTATTTTATGTTAACTTTTTTTTTTTTTGAGACAGAGTCTCACTCTGTGTTCCAGGCTGGAGTGCAATGGTGCAATCTCGGAATAACTGCAACCTCCATCTCCCGGGTTCAAGCAATTCTCCTGCCTCAGCCTCCCAAGTAGCTGGGATTACAGGCGCCTGCCACCACACCTGGCTACTTTTTGTATTTAGTAGAGATGAGGTTTCACCATGTTGGCCACGCTGGTCTCAAACTCCTGACCGCAGGTGATTCACCGGCCTCGGCCTCCCAAAGTGCTGGGATTACAGGCATGAGGCACCGTGCATGGCCCATAGTTCTTTATTATCATTCTTTATATACAATTGTGTATTATGTATAATTGTATGTGTTCTACTTTGATATGACTGGCTGCATGGGAGGTTTGTTTACATCAGCATCACCATAAACACATAAATAATGCATTGTGCTATGACATTAGGATGTCTACAATGTCATTAAGCGATAGGTAGGAATTTTTCAGCTCCATTTTTATCTTATGGGACCACTGCTGTATAAACGGTCCATTGTTGACCAAAATGTCGTTATGCAATGCATGACTATGTATTATATGTAATATGTATGTATTATTATTTGTATTATATATGTATATTTATAGCATAATGTGTTTACTCAGCAAATATATTACATATATTACATAATATATATAACATATATGTGTGTGTGTACTCATAATATATATATAAATGTGTACCCAGTCACTGATATATATATTGCACAAATGCTTAGGGAATTATACAAATAGAATAAGATGAATGGCCTTCCTCATAGCCATGGTCATGTCACCTAATTTTCAGTTTGAAAAATGCTTGTATCAGCTAGAGCAGCCTGTCAACTATTTTAGTTTCTTCATCTTTCCAGATGACCAAAGGAATTTAAGACAGTTGTAAAAATCAAATTAACAAACATCTCTTGAGTAAGACACTGAGTTAGGCAATGGCTGACTAGATGTCATCTTTCAAAATTAGGCCAAGGGTTGCACGTAAGCCAACAAGTTGCACCACAAAATGTGACTTCCTCCCTGCAACCAAAGAGGGCTGCTTGCTTCTGAGTCTGGCTGCCAAGGGATCTTCCCCTTTAGTTTCAACTTTCTTATATTCATCCTGGATTTTCAACTTCCAAAGTGCAGTTTAGTATTTTATTGTAAAAACACAATGCGTGAAGTACAGTAGAAGGATGAATAAAGAATTTAATTGACTCCAAGGTGAAGATTAGGCCCTGACAAATTCCTGGTCCATGTGTAAGGAGAGGCCCATTTAAAGGATCTCATTGCTAAGAGGGCAGGTCTTAGGTTCTTACCAAAGTTTAAAAAAAAAAAATGAAAGATCTCATTGTGACTTTGTTAATGACCTTCTTCTCTCTTTCTCTGGAACCTCTGGAAAAGTTACTTAAAGAGAAGACAAAAAGGCCCTTTTGCCCTTTGCCCACCTTCCTTCCCTTCTGAAAGTTTGAACATGGTGTGAATAGATAATTAAGCATTTTCAAATTATTGTTTATTCCTTTCTATTCTTTGTAAACCTTTGAAAAGCAAGGCCATTTCCTTCTCATATATACTGAGGTCTAAGACATGAGAATGAAAATAATAAATCTATGGGTTTAAATTGATCACTTACTTTGAAATTACTGAGTAGACATCCACCCCTTGAAATAGAAATACACCCCTTGGAAGTTTTATTTTTGATCCAGTCACAGTAGCCTGTTAGGGCTATTAATGACTGTGAAAAGATTTATGTATAATACATAACTTCAAAAAACTTATATTGAAAAGCTTGCCTGGTTTGAAGTCATTGGGAATTTAAGCCAACAAGGTTGATTTTCCATTTAAAATCAGAATTTTGTTTTTCATATTTAGGTATTTAAAAACAGCTTTGATAAATATTTGGCCCATTTTTAAAAAAGCCCTCAATGGTGCTAATGTGTATAATGTGAGGGTAGATTTGGTGTTTGGATATAGTCAGAAGTTGTTTGGTGTTGTGTCAGTTAAGTGACCAGCCTGGGAAATATTTATTTTGATCAAAACTGAGGTGTATCTTAAGAGGTAAAACTTTTGTCTGAGTAATTCATAACCTGGTTTTGAAGAAAATTCAAAAGTATTTGAGCTAATGGTAACAACATTAGAATAAGAGTCATACCTTCCAGAGTGTCTTCTCTGAAGGGTAATATCAACTGGGAATTATAAATGATACAAATGTGACTATAAAGTAAAATACTACATAACTAAAAATATTTTACTTTACAGTCACATCTCTTGAAATCTTTCATTTGCACCAGATTTGGTCTTCGATGAAGATATCATATCATCTCCCAATTCTTTAGCTATTTTCCTCTCCTTGGAGATCTTATTTATTTTCTGTGTTTAAATATACACAAATAACTCCTATTAAAAGAGAAACAAAATTGAAAACAACATTCACTTTATTGTTTACCTGACTCATCTAAGATCACTTTTTCCTTTCCCTTACAATAAAAATTCTTCAAAGAATAACACAGTATATTGCCAACATTTAACTGAGTTCCGTTTTTTTCCCCTAGCGATGGGGTCCCGCTCTGTTGCCCAGGCTGGTCTCGAACTCCTGGCCTCAAGCAATCTTCCTGCCTCAGCCTTCCTAGTGGTTGGGATTACAGGTGTGAGCCACCGCACCTGGCTTTAACTGAGTTCTTTCTATGGGGCAGACACTGTGTTAAGCATTTTTCATGTTATATTAATCCTCCCTATGAGCAAAGTGTTATTCTCCTCACTTTAAGGATGAGTATATTAGTTTCCTGATGCTGCCATAATAAAATACTATAAACTGGTGGCTTACAATAGCAGAAATTTATTTTCTCATAGACCTAGAGGCTGGTAGTCCAAAATCAAGGTGTTGGCAAGCCCCTTCTGAAGCCTCAAGGGAGACTCTGTTCTGTGCCTTTTTCTTAGTTTCTGGTGTTGCCGGCAGTCCTTAGCGTTCCTTGGCTTGCAACTGCATAACCTCAGTCTCTACCTCTGTCATCACGCTGGGTGTCTTCCCTGTGCATGTCTCTCTCTGTGTCTCTCTCCTCTTCTTATAAGGACACCAGTCATATTGGATTATGGAGCCACCCTTCTCCATTATAACCTCATTTTAACTAGTTATGTCTGTAATGACCCTACTGCGAAAGAAGGTCACATTCTGATCTGGGAAGGACATGAATTTGGGGGACCATATTCAACCCAGTGCACTGGGACTTAGATACACTTCTACTCGTTAAGTTGTACAGTTTGGGTGGAACCAGGATTCAGGTACTGTGACCATCAGAGCCTGTCATCATAACTGCTTCACTATTTGATGTGACCACTGGCCCATCGCCTTGCTGCTCCTCCTTCATCCATGTGATCCCGTTTCCAGTCCCAGATTGCCATTGAAACTCTTCTCCTAAAGGACCTCACCTTCTGGATCATCCAGCTTCTTCCTGCCCTAGTGGTGACATCCTCCTCCTTAGCACTCTGCTCCCTTGGTTCTCTGGCCACACTCTGAGTCTCACACTCCAGACCGGGTGTTCCCTCTTGCGCTTGCTCATCTTACTCATCCTATGTCCTAAATGTGGGTGCTTCCCAACTCACATTTCTCTGTCCTTCCCTTCACATTCTTTCTTTCTGAAATCTCTTCCATTCTCAGTTTCAGTTGTAACTTCTATGCCATTGGCTCTCCCTTCTGTGTCAGTCTGTTTCTCCCTGCTGCCCTCTCCCCTAAGCTCCAGCCTCATACCTTCAAACTCCTGCTAGACAAGAAGTCCTACCATCATCTCTAGCCCAGCATGCTCAAGCCAGGTATTTTTCTTCCTTGAAAAGCTTTCATCCTGTCTCACCATATGCACTGACACACATGTCCTGGCCCAAGTCCTTGCTGTCTCATGGAAGGAACACTACAGCAATGCCCTAGTTAACTGGCTTGATGCCAGTCTCCACCCTTCCAGTGTGTCTTGCATAACCTTGACCAACTAATCTCTCCAAACCCAATTTTAATTCTTTTATTCCCTGTGCTCAGCCATTCCCTATGTTCTGCTGCTTCATGTTTACACTCCTCTGACATCTCTTTATCCACCATCTTCACCCAGTATAATTTCCCATGGCTTCAATATGCACTTGTACTCTAGTTAGGCATTGCTTCTCTGCAAAACTGAGCATATTCTCATTTCTGTGCTGTGACTTATGTTATCCACTCAACCCTTTATCCTCTCCAATCTTGCCTCTTCCATCAGGCCCCAGATCAAATCTCACCTCTTCTATGCAGTTTTCTCTACCATTTCAGGTTTCATTCATTTCAGTGGAGCCTCAAGGAAAGAATAACAGAAAAGTGGTCAGAAATGCAGGATGAACTTGCTCTCTCCGTGTCCTCTGTTCTTAGCTTCTATGTTTATATTTGCTCCATCTTTCTCTCTCTCATCTCAGAACTTCTAAAAATCAGCATACACATTACTCTGAGCTGTCCTGTTTTATTAATTGTTGCTTTACGTCTCTTCTCAACTATTTTATCAGACAAGTGAGGGCAAAGGCCACAACTCATCTTTTTTTCCCTTAATAGCTATACCACCTAACACAATATTGAATACTTACTAAACAATTTTCACTTAATTTACTTAATACAATTTCACAATAAGTTGAGTGGAGTTTCTTACAGAAGTGCCAAAAAACTGTTTCTGAAACCTAATGTGTTCTAGACACTAGTTTTCTAAGCCAAAAATATTTCACTGAAGGTAGACAGAGTCTGCAATGTGAAATGTGAAGATAATTTTCTCAATCATATAAGCAAAAATTAGTTTTCAGGATATTTTAGAGTTGTGTTAATTCTCTGCTATCTTCAGTTTTCTAGAAAAATTCTTAAAGCTATAATAAACAAGATAAATTATATTGGTAGTACTGGAAAATTTTTATTTAGCAATGTCAGTGAGTGCTATTCTTTTTGTCTTAATCACTAAATATATGTCACATAAATTTATGCTGAACCCATGCCAAATTTCTGAAAATAGAACTCACTGACATTCAAAAGACAAAAAATACTCAAGTGCTTCATTCCCACAGTATTAAAACTATTGTCTATATTGTAAATAATAGTAAGGCAAACAAAACCTGATTTCTTTTCCGTGAATAACAAGAAGGAATTAGAACTTTTTGAAAATGAATCTGAAAGGCTGGGCACAGTAGCTCACACCTATAATCCCAGCACTTTGTGAGGCAGAGGCGGGTGGATCACCTGAAGTCGGAAGTTTGAGACCAGCCTGACCAACATGGTGAAACCCTGTCTCTACTAAAATACAAAAATTAGCCAGGCGTAGTGGCGGGCGCCTGTAGTCCCAGCTACTTGGGGAGGCTGAGGCAGGAGAATTGCTTGAACCTGGGAGGCAGAGGTTGCAGCGAGTTGAGCTTGCACCACTGCACTCCAGCCTAGACGACAGAATGAGACTCCGTCTCAAAAAAAAAAAAAAGAATCTACAGAAGTCACTGAATGTCAAATCATAATCATTTTCTGACAATCTACTCTCTCTAGTCAGGAAAATATACATAAAAGTTTGACACTGAACTTTTATGAGAGCAGAAATGGTCTAAGTAGTTCTAGGTTCAGCACTTTGGTGAGTGCGCAGGAAGCACCAGAAGTTTACAGCTAAAATGGACTCTATCCAGAATCTGTAAGGAACTTAAAACAACTCAACAAGAAATAAAACAAGTAACCTCATTAAAAAATGGGCAAAGGACATAAACAGACACTTATCAGAAGAAGACATATAAGTGGCCAACAAACATATGAAAAAATGCTCATCATCACTAATTATCAGAGAAATGCAAATCAAAAGCACAGTGAGATACCATCTTACACCATTCAGAATGGCTATTAAAAAGTCAAAAAATAACAGATGCTGGTGAGGCTGTGGAGAAAAGGTAATTGCTTACACGCTGTTGATGGAAATGTAAATTAGTCCAGCCACTATGGAAGACAGTTTGGAGATTTCTTAAAGAACTTAAAACAGAACTACCATTTGACTCAACAATTCCATTACCGGATATATACCCAAAGGAAAAGAAATCATTCTACAAAACAGACACGTGCACTCATATGTTCATCACAGCAGTATTCACAATAGCGAAGACGTAGAATCAACCTAGATGCACATTGATGGTGGACTGGATAAATAAAATGTGGCACATATATACCAGGAAATATTGTGTAGCTGTAAAAAATAATAAAATCATGTCCTTTGCAGCAGCATGGCTGCAGCTGGTGGCCATTATCTTAAGAAAGTGAATGCAGGAACAGAAAACCAAATACTACATGTTCTCACTTATAACTGAGAGCTAAACATTGAGTACACATCAACATAAAGATGGGAATAGTACATACTGGAGACCTCTAGAGGGAAGAGGTAATGGAGCATGGGTTGAAAAATTACCCATCGGATACTATGCTGACTACCTTGGTGATGGAATCATCCATACCCCAAACCTGAGTACCATGCAATACACCCATGTAACAAGGCTGCATTTATACCCCCTGAATCTGAAATAAAAGTTGAAATTATTAAAAATAAATAAAATAAAATGTACCCTCAGATTGAGGGAATAGATAAAAGAGGGGCTATCACCATGGGTGAAGCCAAAAGTATATGGACCATGATTAAGGCTGGTTGGTTGTTTGTAGGAGAAAACCTCCCACAAGCCACATTAATTTTTGTATTATTTGAGCCTTTTTAACAGAAACTCAACTTGACCAAAAAAAAAAAAGAAAGGTTGGGATTTGGGTATTATTATTATTATTTTTGAGACAGAGTCTTCCTCTGTCACCCAGGCCAGAGTGCAGTGGCACAATCTCGGCTCACTGCAACCTCCGCCTCCCGGGTTCAAGTGATTCTCCTGCCTCAGCCTCCCAAGTAGCTGGGACTATAGGCACGCACCACCATGCCTGGCCAATTTTTTGTATTTTTAGTAGAGACAGAGTTTCACCATGTTGGCCAGGCTGGTCTCGAACTCCTGACCTCATGATCCGCCCTCCTTGGCCTTCCAAAGTGCTGGGATTACAGGCGTAAGCCACCATGCCCGACCTGCAGTTGGGTATTATTAATCATTATAATGATTGAGGGGTTTCACAGAATCAAAAGGCAGGAATGAAACTGGAGTTCTGGAAGGAAGTGAAACCAACAACTGACAGCTGACAGAATCCAGGAAGTACGTTTGTACATCTTTGCTTCTCCTTTTTGCATCTTCTCCTATCTTCTTTCTCCTTAAAGACTTCCTTTCTCTGGTCTTCAGGCTACAAAGTGGGCTATGGCTGCAGGACACATGAAGAGACAAACTTTACTCTTGGACTTAATTTAGAAATTCTTGGGTGAGAGCCTAATTGCCCAAGTTAAATCAGATTGCCAGAACTTGAACAATCAACTGTGGCCATGGAACTGATTATCTACTATAAATTTGGTTGCCCAGAGACTGCTTCTGTGGTTTTAACCATAATGTGGAAATGTTCAGTTTTGTGACTTGCCCTAAATTTCATCAGGGGCAAGGGAAGAAAGGAGCATGCACAATAAACTTAATGTGACAGTAGATGACAAAAACAAATTTGTTTCATAATTAATTCCTTGAGTCATGCTTGTTTAACATTAAAGTTACATTTTGGATAGGGGATTGGGAATAGAGTTATTTTCATAAAAGAACAGTCATTATAAGTTTGGCAGATACTTCAGAAATAGATGTCTATTGGAAGTACAATTCGGATATAACTTAAAATTAGAATTTATGTCTTCAGTAAATGAAAATGCAGAAATCATGAAATGAAAGCTAATATTGCCATAGTACATGAATACAAAAGTAACTGAATCTCAAGAAGTCTTGAAAAAAATTACATGCAAGTTAATATTAGGTTGAAAAATGCATTATCCAAATGTTTTTTTCCCCTGTCTCCTATGGTTCTTGTGTGAGATTATACAAATTTTATGACATCATATTCAGAAGATTAGGAAGACCACTAGAGTAATATACTGTGGGCAAAAGAAACTATTTTGGGAAGACTACCTCAAAATGTCACTTTTGGTGATTTCTGGGTTGTGTGATGACAAGGAATTTATTTTTATTTTTATTTTTACTTGATATGTTATTTTTGGAGCTGTTGTTGGTGAAAATCTGTTGCTTTTATAATTTAAAAGGATTATTTTTATAAGAAGAAAAAGAGTACCCCTGCAGTAGAAATATCACTATATTAGTGGAAACAGTGCTTTGATTAGCTGATACTACATTACCAATATGTAAATAGGAAAGGATAACACATCAGATTACCATACCAGACAAAAGCATTGATGAACATTCAGATTCCTTTTGCATAAACTTTTCCATTTGAATATCCAATTGTTTCAGCACCTTTTGTTAAAAAAAATTTTCCTTTGCCCCCAGTATAATTACTTTGGTGCGTCTGTTGAAAATTAATTGAGTGTGTAAGTGTGAGTCTGTTTCCGAGCTCTCTATTCTGTTCCATTGATATTTGTTAGACCTTATGCCAATACCATATACTATCTTGATTAACTTTAGCACATTTTGAATTCAGATAGGGTAAATCTTTCAATTGTCTTTTTCTTTCTCATGTTCATTTGGGTCTTCTAATCCATGAACATAGTATATATCTTCATTTATTTGGGTTTTCCTTAATTTATCTCAACAATGTTTTGTAATTTTTAGTGTAGAAATTTTGTATGGTTTTATTTAATTTATTTGTAAGTATTTTACATATTTCTAATTGCTATTGTAAGTGGATTTTTAAAAATTTTTCAATTGTTTGCTGCTAGTACATAAAAGGACGATTGTGGAGTATTGGCCATGTATCCTGTAATATTGTTAAATTTGCTTATTAGTTCTAGTGGTTGCTTATACGTTCCTTAGAATTTTCTACATCAACAAACATTATATTCTTTATTTCATTTTCTTGCCCTATTTCATAGGCTAGGACTTCTATTACAACATTAAGAGGGTACATCTTTGCCCTGAGTCCAATCTTGAAGGGAATACGGTTAGTCTTTCACCACTAAGCATTATATTAACTATAAGAATTTCATAAATATCCTTTATCAGGTCAAGGAAATTTCCATCTTTTCTTAGTTTACTTAGTGTTTTTTTAGGGTTTTATGTATGTATTTATTTAGATTTAGAAGATACAAGTTCAGTTTTGTTACATAAATATATTGCATAGTGGGGAAGTCTGGGCTTTTAGTGTACCTGTCATCCAAATAGTGAACATTGTACCCAATAGGTAATATTTCAACCCTATCCTCCTCCCACCCTCCCACCTTTACAGTCTCCAGTGTCTATTATTCCACTCTGTATGTTCATGTGTACCCATTGTTTGGTTCCCGCTTAGAAGTGAGAACATGCAGTATTTGACTTTCTGTTTCTGAGTTATTTCACTTAGGACAATGGCCTCTAGTTCAATCCTTGTTGAGCAAAAGACATAATTTCATTCTTTTCTATGGCTGAGACGTAATATATATGTATATATAATATGATATTCTCTTTGTCAAATCATCCATTGATAAATACTTAGGTTGATTACATAACTTTACTATTATGAATAGTACTGTGATAAACATATGAGTGCAGTTGTCTTTTTAGTATAATGATTTATTTTCCTTTGGGTAGATACTTAGTAGTGGGATTGCTGGATCAAATGGTAGTTCTATTTTTAGTTCTTTAAGAAATCTCCATACTGTTTTCCATAGAGGTTGTACTAATTTACATTCCCACCAACAGTATATAAGTGTTCCCTTTCTGCTGTATCCTCATCAGCACTTGTTGGATTTTTGGCTTTTTAATCATGGCCATTCTGGCTAGTGTAAGATGATATCTCACTGTGGTTTTAATTTGCATTTCTCTGATGATTAGTGATGTTGTGCTTTTTTAAAATATGTTTCTGGGTCACTTGTATGTCTTCCTTTGAACATGTTAAGATGTAAACCCAACAAATGAATGTAAACAACCAGATGTGGAACATCTTTGGATTACTTTCTATCCAAACTCTAATTCTGTCTTTATGGCCACATAAAAAAGACGAAATCTACATTGAAATCTCGGTTTGGTGAGTTCACAGTTTCTGCTGCTGGTTGGTAATTTCCTTAACTACCCTTTCCATATTTCTAACAATACACTAAAACACCCATTAGTCAATGGTCAATCCTGTGCTTTATTGTAATATTTTATAAAATATATTCCTTCTCCTCACACCTCCTTAACATTTACTTTTTAAAACAACTGGTAACTTAATAATACCTGGTAATTAGATTCATGACATTATGCTCAAAATTACTTTACTAAAATATCCCTAGCTTGCCAACAACAGAAATGGAATGTTCTTTTAATGCTAAATTCTGAAAGGAAAAGTCTTCAAAGAAAGAAAGTTCAAATAGTGGCCACTCAACAGCAGGTTTTTAGTGTTTAATATATTCAGTGAAAGGTCCGTGGGTAAATATTCAGTGATTAAGTGGCCAAAATACAACTCACAGCTTTTCCTCTAAATATCAGATATAAAAAGAAAAACTATTAGGCATTTTCAGTGGTTTTTAGGTACTTGTAGGAAGTTCTGGCTTTATGTATAGCTTTTTTATATATGTGTCTACTGTTAAATTAAGATCCTATTTTATATCAACATTTATGTTAAGCAGTGTAAAGTTACTTGACCTCTGGTCCGTTGAAGTGCTTCTTAGTTGTGGTTTGAGACACTTTCATCCAATTTCATAGCTTTCATTCTCAAACTTCATCAAAAGGAAGAATACACAGGACCTTCAGTAACATGTAGACAGTAAGAAAAAAAAACTTTAAGTGAGATAAATAGGGAGTTTTATACGTGGTGGGTGGAAGCTCTTTGTCTTTTTTTCTGCGTTTTGGCCTTAACCTCCAACAATGAAGGTTGGCAGAGAATGTATCAGGATTGAATAAGTCAGCTGAGTACACATTGGCATGGTGTTCAGTGTAAGCTGTTCTATGACCGAGGCCACCAGTGAACTGCTTTTGACTGTTTAAGAACATTTAGGAACTGTGAGGTACTGTTCTAAGAAAATGTCTTTAAGGTCATGGATAATGTGCCTCATGGTGGAGCACTATTTCTTTATAGTAATTCTCTGTGGTTAATTTAGATTCTAGATTATCTTGCTGAGCCTTGAGGAATTTCCCAGCATTTCAGCATCAAGTATGGTTGTCAACCCTGCGGCTTCCTCAAATCAAAATTTACAATAAATGTAAATATCTTCAATCTCTTTCTGCAATGCAACGCTGCAGTCAAGCTGCCTATTGCAAAGAAGACATCAGAGGTGTGGCCCTGGAGATTTTTTCCAGATGGTCTTTCTGAAAATAGGATACTTTTATGAACAACAATTTATAATTAAATCAAAACATTAATGCACTACAGAGAACAAAAGCTCAACCAGCTATAAAGGTATTCCATCTAACATTTGTGTCAACCTTTATATCATCTAAACACAAAACAATTGCTAGCAAAAACATTTCAAAAGCATCATGCATGCCTGTACATTGTGAATAGCAGATTTCCTTCAGTTCATTTGCCTTTTCTTTGTTGTTCTGAAAGAGGACAGACATTATATTATTGAGCTCTAAAACTCTTGTGATCAACAGAAAAAAAGAACATCTTTAATTGCTCCCAAAGCAATAGATGATCCTCCCACAACAGAAAACTGATTTCGACTTCTGCATATTTAAGGCAGAGGAAGAGCAAGGTGTGGAGATATGTTGGGATTATTTCTCTAAAGTTCTAGTTACCATGATTGCCATTTTGAAAGAAAGTCTACTAGATATAATCTAAGCCAGGTCACACCAGAATTCCTTGTTCATTTCCCACTTCTCAGTTATTGTAGTGTGACATTTCACAGCCAAACTTCCTGCATCAGCTTCAGGAGGGAGAAATCCCACATCCTTCTCTCTGGCCCTGAGATTCATCAGTGAGCCTAACCAATACCGGTGATTGCTTTTTCTCAGCTATGTCCTCCATATTAGCGACAGTAGGAAAGAAGTGAATCTCTCACTTCCCCGTTTCTTCCCAGTGCAGCTCTTGTAGATCTCAAGCACCTGTTTCTGTTGTGTTTTCAAACTGAATAATGTGTTTCAAAGAACTTTCTCAGGACTGCCTCACCAGAAAGTACCCTGAACTCCAGCAGTGCTTAAACATTAAAAGGAGAAAAGAAACCCTTTGAGATTTGGTCAGCCTCATTTTCATCCAAAGGTGTATTTTGTAAAAACCAAACTTCAAATAAAAATGTTAAGTGATCTTTGTTTTTATTCTCTTCAAAGTTTAGGGGTGAAATGCCTTCATTTTGTTCTTCACTTTCTTCTTCGGCATTGGAGTTCTGTGTATTGCTGTTGTTTCTTTATTGGTTTGTTTCTATTCAGGAGTTTCATCATTTTTTCCATTTGTGTCCTGATTTAATTATCACAATTATCTTATTTATTTTCAATGTCCACCATGTGGATTGTTCAGATGACCAGTAAAATCAACCATTGCTGGCATAGCATAATTGCAAATAACTCTTCTGTAAGTACTAGTTTTATAAATCATAGAGTTCTCAAAGTGTTTGACAATAATGTTTACTCAGCCAATCAGGTGTTTTACCTTGTAAGTTAATTTTTCTACATTTCTTCACCCACCTCAGGCTTCTTTCAAGGTCTTGTAGTAACCTGAAGGCCAGATTGGGCTTCATTTTCTTCCATGTGCAGTTGGGAACTGCATACAAGTTTGATGTTGTAGCCCTACCAGCAAGCTAGCCCGCACTCCCTACCCGCAAACTCAGGCCCTCCTGCCTTCCTGTTAGTGATGGGGAAAGAAAATCAACTTAACATGACTCGTGTTTTCATTTTCTTTATTTGAAATGTCTGTGTCAAGTTTAGTATCAGGATCAGGCTGACTTCATAAAATGCACTGGGATGTGTTTCTTCCTCCTGGGTTTCTGAAAGCATTTGTGTAAAATTGTTATTTTTTTCTTACCTAAATGTTTAACAGAGTTCAGAGGGAGATTTTGATAACAAATTCAATTTCTTTTATATATATAGGACTAGTTAAGAATTTTTATTTCATCTTGTGTCAGTTTAGTAAGTTGTATTGTTCAGAAAATATGTCCATTCCTTCTAAGTTGTTGAATTTATTAGCATACACTTGTTCATGTTTGTTGGATCTGTAATATATTCACATACTTATTCCTGATATTGGTGATTTCTCTTTTCTTCTGCATGTCAAACTTTAATGTCATTTCCCCTAGAAAAACCCCAAAATGTTTTATACCTATTAATTTCCTCTATCATTTGTCTGTTTTCTGTTTCATACTTTCCTCCTCTTATAATATCTTTATTGTTTCCTTCCTTCTACTTTCTTTGTTTTTGTTGTTATTGTTGTTGTCTTGAGGCAGAGTCTCACTCTGCAGCCCAGGCTGGAGTGCAGTGGCAAGATCTCACCTCACTGCAACCTCCAACCCCCAGGTTCAAGAGATTCTTCTGCCTCAGCCTCCCAAGTAGCTGAGACTACAGGCATGTGCCACCACGCCCGGCTAATTTTTGTATTTTTAGTAGAGACAGGGTTTCAACATATTGGCCAGGCTGGTCTCAAACTCCTGACCTCAAGTGATCCTCCCACCTTGGCTTCCCAAAGTGCTGGGATTAGAGGCATGAGCCACCACACCCGGCCCCTCTACTTACTTTGGATTTACTTTTCTCTTCTTTCTCTGGATCTTACTGTGGAAACAAAGGTCATTCATTGTATACCTTTCTTCCTTCCTATCCTAAGCATTTAAAAGGTATAAATTTCTCTTTTAGCACTACTTTAGCTGTATTCCACAAATTTTGATATATTTTCATTATCATTCAGTTTGAAATAGTTTTAATATGTCTTATGACTTTTTTCTTTGACCCATGGATTATAGACAATATGTGTTTAAATTTCCAGATATGTGAATTTTATCCTCCTTTGACATCTTATTGTTTTTGGTTTCTAATTTAATTCCACTGTGGTCCAAAAACATTGTCTGCATTATTTTAATCTTTAAAATGCGCTGAGACTTGTTTCATGGCCCAGCATTTCGTTTATCTTGGTAAACATTACATGTTACTTGAAGATAATGTTTATTCCGCAATTGTTGGGTGTAGTGTTCTATAAATGTCAATTAGGTAAAGGAGAGTGAAGGCATTATTCAGATCTTTTATCTACTTGTTCTGCCAATTGCTGTTATTAAATGTTAAAATCTCCAACTATATTACATAAGCAGAATAGGCACAAAAAATCTCCAACTATCATTGTGGAGTTGTCTCTTTCTCCCTTTAATTATGTTACTCTTTCATGTCACGTATCCTAAACCTGTTTTATTAGGCCCATATACATGTATAATTATTGTGTCTTTATGCAAATTTATTCATTATTACAGTATGTCTGTTTTTACTTTTTGTCTTGTGGCATCTATTACATCTGATATTAATATAGCCAATCCAGCCCTCTTAGGCTTACAGTTTGCATAATAAATCTTTTCCTGTCATTTGCTTTCAACATATCTGTATTTTTATATTTAAAGTTCATCTCTAATGGAGAAACTATGTTGAATCTTACTCATTTATCTCCTTTGAGAATTTATGAATTCTAATTGGAGCATTTAGTTCATTTCCATTTAATTGAATTATTGACAGAGTTGAGTTTAGACCAACAGTTTTACTACTATTTTCTGTTGGTCCTGCCTGCTTTTTGTTTTTAAATTCTGTTACTACTTTCTCAATTTTTTTTGTTTAATTCAATTTTTTTGAGAATTATTTTTTAATGAATTGTTGGCTTTTTAGTTATATAACTTTATATTGTTTCAAGTGGTTGCTCTAGGGGTCATAGTTTACATTCTTGATTTTTCACAGCCTACTTAGATTTAATATTGGACCATTTTGTGTAAAGCAGAATCTTTCTGAAAATAGAGGTTCATTTACTTCTTCTGTTTTGGTTGTCATATGTACTTCATCTAAAAATGTTATCAATCCCACAATACAATGTGGGGTTTAAAGCAAATATAGATTTTTCTTTAGTCATGTTTATTTATAACAAATTAGGAGAAAGGGACAAATCTTAATATTTAGCCACCTATATATCATTTGGGGCACTGCATTGTTTTCTAAAGACTGAGTGTCCACCTGGCATTAATTCCTTTTGCCTAAAGAACTTCCTTTGTGTTTCTAGCCAGGCGCTGTGGCCCATGCCTGTAATCCCAGCACTTTGTGAGGCCAAGGTGGGCGGATCACGATGTCAAGAGATCTGAGACCATCCTAGCCAACATGGTGAAACCCCGTCTGTACTAAAAATACAAATGTTAGCTGGACGTGGTGGCTCACACCTGTGGTCCCAGCTATTCAGGAGGCTGAGGCAGGAGAATCGCTTCAACCCAGGGGCCGGAGGTTGCAATGAGCTGAGATTGCACCACTGCACTCCAGCCTGGCAATAGAGCAAGACTCTGTCTCAAAAAAAAAAAAAAAAAAAAAAAAAAGAATTTCCCTTGTGTTTCTTGTACTGTAGGTCTGCTAATAAAAATTATTTTCATTTACCTGAAAATCTTTATTTTGCCCTCATCCTCAAATGTTTTTTTTTGCATTTAGTTGACTTTTTTCCTCCTTTCACCATTTTAGAAATGTCATTCCACTGTCTCCTTGTGTCCATTGTTTCTGATAAGAAATTATTGTTATTTCATATCATTCTACATTATGGAATATGTTAATCTGTGGTTAATCTGTGGTTGTTTTCAAGAGATTCTCTTTAACCATGGTTTGAGAAGTTTGATTCTAATGTGCATACATGTGGTTTTCTTTGTATTTTTCCTGCTTGGGCTTCACTGGGTTTGTTATAGTTATATCTGTAAATGTATGCCTTTCACCAAACTTGGGAAATATTTTCCAATTATTTTCTCAAATATTTTTGCTCTCTCTCCTCTTTTGAGACTACAACTACACATATGCTAGACCTTTCCACATTGTTTCCACAGATCACTGAGACTCTACTTTTTTCTAATCTTTTCTCTTGTTTTTTTTAGGTTAGCTACTTTCTATTGCTCTATCTTCAAATTTATTGACTTTCTCATTTTAATCTACTGTTAAAGTTATCTTGCAAATTTTAAATACAGGTTTTAAAAAATTTTTTGGATTTTCATTTGTTTCTCTTT
Source organism: Homo sapiens (assembly GCF_000001405.40). NCBI lineage: Eukaryota > Metazoa > Chordata > Mammalia > Primates > Hominidae > Homo > Homo sapiens. Next base: position 11,510,756 of record NC_000006.12, on the reverse strand, counting down.
TGTAGTTTTGATTCCTCTGCTAAAATTTTCTCTCCTTTCATTCATTGTGAGCATGTTTTTCTCTAAATCCTTGGAATGGTTATAATAGTTGTTTTAAAATCCCTATGTGCTAATTCCAACCTCTGGGTCATCGCAGTGTCAGTCTTCACTTATTTGCCTTTTGTCTTGAGATCACATTTCTCTGTTTCTTCATAAATCTAGTAATTGTGGATCACATGAATATTATGAATGATGTGTTGTAGGGACACTGGAATCTGTTATGTCCCTTTGAGGAATTTGTTTTCTTTGTTTTTGTTTTTAAGCAGGCAATTAATTTAACTTTAATTCAAACTCCAATCCTGTTTTTTGTGGAGTGGAGCAGCTGAAAACTCAATTCAGTTATTTTAGACTCATAAGGCCTATTTGGAGTTATCCCTGTGCATATGTAGTACAGGGGTCAGCCAGAGATTTTATCCATGTTCATATATAGAATCCCCCTTGCCCCGCCCCACCCATGGCTTTTACCTTTTGTGGGTTTCCCCCTCAATCTCCAGCTGCCATGGCCTCCAAAATCTGTCCTGTGGTTCTCCAAGCCAATAAGACTGGATTTCTACTGGAGTTTTACCCACCAAGAAAGCTGCAACTAGGGCCTACCCTCCAGCAAAATGTTGTATCAAAACAGGAAAACTACATGGCCATTTCCTTCTTTCAAGTATAAGTTTACCTCCAATTTCTTTCATGTCTTCTAGAGTGCCTTTAGATTAATCCAATTATATTTTATATTTTGTATGGAGCTTATTTTTGTTACCTGAGAGTGGGTTGACCCGATAGAAATTACTTCTCCATTTCATTTTAGAAACTTATTTGCATTAAGTTTTTATTCACCAAGAAATCAGTGCTTATTAGTTTTCACAGTACCTCTATGTAATAGTTCCCTGGTGCTTATGATAAGTAGATTTTTCTCTATTCTACCACTGTAAAATATTTATTCATTCATTCACTCATTCTCCATATATTTTTTGAGGATCTGCTATGTTCTAGGCATAGGATAAAAGTGAGTAAGATATGGTATTTGCCCTCACCGAGCTCAAAATCAAGTGCTACACTGTGCATTACGGTAGTTGCTAGCCATGTGTAGCTATTTTAAAATTATTTTTACATTAAGCAAAAATAAACAAAATTAAGAAGTTAGTTCCTGTGTTGACAGACAGGTATTACGTTAATACCACTAGCCACATTTCAAATGCTCAATATATAGCCACATGTAGCTATTGACTACCATAGTAGACAGCACATATATAGAACATTTCTATCATCCCAAAAGTTCAGATGTACTGTGTTAGTGTAGGAGAAGAGAGAAATATGAAAATTTATCACTAAAATATAGTATGATAACAAAAAAGAGTTATATACAAGGTATGGCAGCTGAACAGAGGTGATACTATTTAACTGATATTACAAAGATCCAAAGGGGAGATAATATGTAAGCTGAATTTTTAATGATTAGAAAGATTTGATCAGTCATCCTAGGAAATATAAACAACATGTCAATAAGCATTGAAGACTTAAATCAGATTACAAAACTATTTTTTAAAAGCCCTGACTCTCATATTTCTATTTTAGGCATCTGAATAAATGGTAATATTCACTGTTTGGGGATCATAAATGGAGCACATTTAAGAGAAAAGTGATAAGTTTGCATGAGGCCATTTTGAATTTGGCATGCCTGTTGGACACTTAAAGAAGCTGGATGTATAGTTCTTGAGACTGGAGAAAGGTGGTTTGAGTTGGCAATGCAGATTTGATGGCATAATATATTTTAGGTGGTTGTTAAATTTGATAGCATGTTTGAGATGTGCTAGAGGATGTAGAGTAAGAAACAAAAGGAACTAGCACATCGTGATGATTTCATATATGTCAGACATTCTGTTAGGCACTTTACATGTATTTGGGAAGAAATGCAATTACAATTGTATTTTGGTATGAGAGACCTGGATTTGAATTCTTGCTATACTACTTTACTGTGTGTGACCTTGAGCAATACACTTAATTTCTCTAAACTCCAGTTTTCTCATCATTCAAAAAGGGTAATAATAAGGCCTACCTCATTTGGTTGTGTGAGAATTAAATACAAAATTTGGAGTGTCTAGCATATGGTAAGTCCCCAATACATATAATTCACTCTATTTTTATTATTAATATTATTATTATTAATGACATATTATTTAGCCTTCATAACAACCTTATGAAGTAGCTTTATTGTCTTCCTTTAGCTGAAAGTATTATGACTTGACTAAGGTTTCAAGTTGGCAGCTGGATGATCCAGAGACAGAATCCAGTTTTAAATTAATTGAAATTTAAAATTTCTCTCCAGGGCTCTTTTTATAAAACTGCTCTGTGGTAGTTTCTTACAGACATTTGAAACAAGTATTTGATGAAATTATATATATAAGAATATAATATTCTTCGTTATTGTTATTTAAAGAAAAACAGAACATCTCCAGACACGACTCCAAAACAACTGTGTAATCATATTTCAGTACATGTAACCTCTCTCTTTGCCAAGATAGTTAGTGCTATAAAAGTAATACCTGTCAACAGATTTGATTACCCTCTGCTTTTAGACAACTGAAAATAATAATCTTAGATGTCAGAATATCAACCAAGAACTACAAAAATGTTCTTCTCCATTAAGTTTTGGACAGATAACCTATACTTACTTTGAAATATCTTGCTAAGACTGAAGTCTTAATATATAAATATAGTGGAAATAATTTGTGCCACCCACCAATTTCAAAGGCTAGTTGATAAGTGATTAGAGCAGCTTTATGTCTCTGTAAAGAGTTATAGGAACCTAATGATTTATTAGCATTTCAACTGCTGCCTTCTTTTTCCTTTCATGCTCTGACAATTCTTGTCGTAACACCCTTGGCTGGTGATTTAGTAGAATCTCCCTTAGCTGATGATTTAGTAGTAAGCAGATCTTAGATTTAAAATTACACAGCTCCCCTATTTAAAGCTGCAGGGTATTTGTTCCAATGGAACTTTACTTATGTAGCAAACATTCATTGGTACCTTGTTGTATACCAGATACTGTCCAAAAGTAGAGACCCCAAACTGAAAAGGCATAGTCCCTTTCTTTAATGAGTTAATATTCTAGTGAACACAGTGGACTTCTCTAAAGAATGGATGACTCTACAGAGAAATCATTGCAATAAGTTTTGTAATAAAGAGATGTTAAAGTTGCATGGGGAGCTTATCCAAAGCAGTCTTCAAACAAGAGGTTAAATTTGTAATATTATAAGTATGTAAATTTGTAATATTATAAGTATGTAAGTATGTAATATTATAATTATGTAAATTTTTAAAGGCCATTAAATTGAACACTTACGATTTATGCACTTCAGTTATGTAAATTTTATCTTTAAAAATATGAAGAGATATTGAACGATAGCAGGTTTGCTTTTCACAAGGGTATGGGCTGGCAATTCAGAAACATTCTCTGTATTCTAGACTTAATAAAATGCATTTATTATAGTAATATTTTATAATTTAATATACACAATATATGTATAATATATATAACATATCTATGATAATAAGAGGATGAGAGTCAGGTTTCCCACTGTTGAGAAGGGAAATGCATGTGGACATGGGTAAAAGGAAATGTACTCTGTAATGTTTGATTGCAATTGGAAATATCCGTGTAAACTTATGGTTTTTCATAGTAAAACTTTAATCTTAATTTTTATTTTTTTAACTTTGGTTTTAGGTTTGGGGTACATGTGCAGGTTTTTATATAGGTAAATTTCATGTCAGGGGGGTTAGGTGTACAGATTATTTCACCACCCAGGTAATAAGCATAGTACCTGATAGTTTTTTTATCCTCACGCTTCTCCCTCCCTCCACCCTCAAGGAGGCCCCAATGTCTGTTGTTCCCTTCTTTGTGTTCATATGTACTCAATGTTCGGCTCCCACTTAAAAGTGAGAATATGCAGTATCTGTTTTCTGATCTTGTGTTAGCTTATGTAGGATAATGGCCTCCAGCTCCATCCATATTGCTGTAAAGGACATGTTCTTGTTGTTTTTTTGTGTCTGTGTAGTATTTCATGGTGTATATGTATCATATTTTCTTTATCCAGTCTACTGTTGATGGGCATTTAGGTTGATTCCATGTCTTTGCTATTGTGAATAGTGCTGCAGTGAACATACATGTGCATGTGTCTTTATGGTATAATCATTTATATTCCTTTGGGTATATGCCTAATAATGGGATTACTGAGTTGAATGGTAGTTCTGCTTTGAGTTATTTGAGAAATTGCCAAACTGCTTTCCATAATGGCTGAACTAATTTACCTTCCCACCAGCAGTGTATAAACATTCCCTTTTCTCCATAACTTCATCAGCATCGGTTATTTTTTTACTTTTTATTAATAGCCATTCTGACTGGTGTGAGATGGCATCTCATCCTGGTTTTGATTTACCTTTCTGTAATGACTAGTTATGTTGAACATTTTTTCATATGCTTGTTGACTACATGTGTATCTTCTGAGAGTGTCTATTCTGTCCTTTGCCCACTTTTTAATGGGATTTGTTTTTTGCTTGTTGATTTGTTTAAGTTCCTTACAGATTCTGGATATTAGACCTTTGTTGTATGCATAGTTTACAAATACTTTCTCCCACTCTGTAGGTTGTCTGTTTGCTCTGTTGATAGTTTCTTTTGCTGTGCAGAAGCTCTTTAGTTTAATTTGGTCCCATGTGTCCATTTTTTATTTTGTCACACTTGCTTTTGGTGTCTTTGTCATGAAATCTTTGCCAGGTTCTATGTCCACCATGGTAGTTGCTAGATTATCTTCCAGGGTTTTTATGGTTTGGGGTTTTACATTTAAGTCTTTAATCCATCTTGAGTTAATTTTTATATATGGTGTAAGGAAGGAGTCCAGTTTCAATCTTCTGCATATGGCTAGCCAGTTATCCCAGCACCATTTGTTGAATAGGGAGTTATTTCTCCATTGTTTTTGTCAACTTTATCAAAGATCAGATGGTTGTTGGTCTGTAGCATTATTTCTGGACTCTCAATTCTGTTGTGTTCGTCTGTGTGTCTGTTTTTGTACCAGTACCATGCTGTTTTGGTTACTGTAGCCTTGTAGTATAGTTTGAAGTCAGGTAACTTGATGCCTCCAGCTTTGTTCTTTTTGCTTAGGATTGCCATGGCTATTCGAGCTCTTTTTTGGTTCCATATGAAATTTAAAATAGTTGTTTCTAGTTCTGTGAAGAATATCATTGGTAATTTGATAAAAATAGCATTGAATCTATAAATTGCTTTGGGCAGTATAGCCATTTTAACAATATTGATTCTTCCTATCCGTGATTATGGAATGTTTTTCCATTTGTTTGTATCATTTCTGATTTCTTAGAGCAGTGCTTTGTAGTTCTAATTGTAGAAATCTTTCACCTCCCTGGCTAACTGTATTGCTAGGCATTTTACTTTACTTTTTTGTGGCTACTGTGAATAGAACTGTGTTTTTTATTTGGCTTTCAGCTTGGATATTATCGGTGTATAGGAAAACTGGAAAGAAAACATAACATCTACCATAACAAGAAAGCTCCAGATAAACAGTACAATTATAACACTTTTTTCCATCAGAGAACAAAGGTTGCAGCACAACCAAGAAGACTGAAATTTAAAGAAAGGCCCTTATTAGGATGCAAGCACTGTCATACCTGAGTCAAAGCATGAGATGAAGAGATGTTAGATGCCATACAAACAGAATAAAAAAGAAAAAAACTGATCAGATGAAATATTTGAAAAAATAAAAATAATGGAAAACATCAAAATACATATCCAAGAAATGCATGGGACCCCTTGCAGCATATGTAAGGAAAAAAATCTAACTAGACAAATAAAATTCAAACTGCTGGAAACCAAGAGTCAAAAGAAAATCTTGAGGGCAACCCAAATAAGAATTATAGTAGATGTCTCATTAGAATTTATGCAACCCAGAAGACAAGAGTGACATCTTTAAAGCATTGAAAGAAAAAAAAACTAGCATCTCAGAATTCTATATTTTTTATCCATTGCTTGAATCAGCAAGAATTCTATATCTTTTAAAATAAAGTCAAATAAATATTGTTTTGAACAAACGAAAGATGAAAGAATTAACATCAGCAGATCTGTGCAAGATGAAAAATTAAATAAGTACTTTAGCAGGAGGAATAAGATCCTAGAAACTTAGTTGTACACAAAGAAATGAAGATTACAGAAATGCTGAAAAGGAAGGTAAATATCAAAGACATTTTTAAGTTGATAATTGCCCTGAAAGATAATGGAATGACTAAAGCAAAAGTAGTAGCCATGTAGTGTATGCTGGTAGAATATTTACTTCTAAAACTTATGAAAATTTTAGCACAAAGGATGGGAAAGAGGACTTGGGAGTATAGAGTTGTGAGGGTGAGATCCTTAAACTACATGTGAAACACAATAGTTTCAAGGTAGATTGTGACTAATTAAAGGTATATATTAGCAGACCTATGGCAACCATTAAAAAGTTATAAAAGATATGTTTTTTTGTTTGTTTTTATTTTTGAGACAGAGTCTTGCTCTGTCACCGGGCTGGAGTGCAGTGGCGCAGTCTCAGCTCACTGCAAGCTCCGCCTCCCGGGTTCAAGTGATTCTCCTGCTTCAGCCTCCCGAGTAGCTGGGACTACAGGCGCCCACCACCATGCCCGGCTAATTTTTGTATTTTTGTATTTTTAGTAGAGACGGGGTTTCACCATGTTAGCCAGAATGGTCTCGATCTCCTGACCTCATGATCCACCCGCCTCGGCCTCCCAAAATGCTGGGATTACAGGCATGAGCCACCGTGCCCGGCCCCCAAAATACATGTTTTTTAAAAAACGATAGTGAGTGTAAAATGGAATCATAAAAATACTCCATTAATTCAGAACAGAAGGAAAAAGAGGGAAAAAAGGAACAAAGACTAAATAGAATACATATAAAACAAATAGCAAGATGGCAGATTTAAATCTAACCAATGTCAATAATTACATTAAATTTCCCATTAAAATGCAGAAAGTATCAGATTGATTTTTGAAAAGCAAGACCAATACTTACCTGGTAAATGAGATTCCATGACCATGAACGTGGTTTACCCAGTGCAAGGCTTGTCCATTGCACGTTGGATGTGCTGACCCCTGTCATTTCCCCACATGTGGAAAACCTGACTATGGAATTTGTGCTGGTTGGAAACTTTGTAACTGCTTTTCCCTGAAATAAAAAATAAAAAGAGCATAGTACTCTTACATGCTGTCTACAAAACAAACCCATTGTACCTATAAAGGCAAAATATGCTAAAAGTGATAAAGAAGGACCTTAAATAATAATAAAGGAGTAAGTTTAAAACAAGATATAAGAAGAGGTAAAAAGCATAAATGTGTGTGCAATTAACAACAGACCTTCAAAATACATGAAGCAAAAACTGCTAGAGCTAAAAGAAGTAGACAAATTAATCATTAAGACATTTATACTCCTCTTTCAGTAATCAAGAAGACAAGTAAAGGGAAAATCAGTAAGGATATAGAAGGCAAGAACAATATTATTAACTGATTTGACCTAATCAAAGTTTATAGAACATCCAACCCAATAACAGTGGAATATACATTATTTTCAAGTGCACACGGAGCATTCACCAAAGAAAGACCATATTCCCGGCCATAAAACAAACCTCAATAAATTTAAATAGAATTATATGCAAAGTATCTTCTGTGATTTAAACTAGGAATTAAACTAGAAATCTATAACAGAAAGATATCTGAAAAAATTCCCAAGGATTTGGAATTTAAGCTACACAATTTTCAACAACAAGTGAGTCATAGAAAAGATAAAAATAGAAATTGGGGCTGGGTGCAGTGGCTCATGCCTGTAATCCCAGCACTTTGCGAGGCTTATGGCGGGCAGATCACCTGAGGTCAGGAGTTCAAGACCAGCCTGGCCAACATGGTGAAACCCCGTCTCTACTAAAATACAAAAATTAGCCGGCTGTGGTGGCACATGCCTATAATCCCAGCTACTCGGGAGGCTGAAGCAGGAGAATCATTTGAACCACTTGAACCCCAGAGGCGGAGATTGCAGTGGGCCAAGATTGTGCCATTGCACTCCAGCCTGAGCGACAAAGCGAGACTTCATCTCAAAAAAAAAAAAAAGGGGGAAATATTTTAAATTTAATTTAAATGAAAAGCAACATATTAATATTTGTGAGATGCGGCTAAAACAGTGTTGAGAAGGAAATCTATAGCATTAGACAACTATATTGGAAAAGAAAAAAACTGTCATTTCAAAAACTTCAATTTCTACCTTAAATAAAACTCATAGTAAGTAAAAGAAAGGAAATAATAAACATAGGAAGAGAAATCAATAAAATAGAAAATGGAAAAACCATAGAGAAAATCAATGAAAACGAAGCTGTTTGTTTTTTTGAGAACAACAAAAAAGATAAACTTTTAGCCAGAGTGATTAGAATAAAAAGAGGAGACACAAATTGCAAACAAATATCAGAAATAAAAGAAGAACGTCATTACTGACCCCAAAGACATTAAAAGGATAATCAGCAGGTATTACAAACAACTTTATGCAAATGCATTCAATAACTTAGATGAAATAGACATGTTTCCTTTCTAAGTATACCAACACATGCTGAAATAGATATATTTCTTAGAAGGGTCAAATTATCAAGTTTTCTTCAAGAAGAAATAGATAATCTAGACCTGTATCTAGTAAATAAATTGAATTTGTAATACAAATCATTTTATGAATAAAACTCCAGGTCCAAATGCATCACCTATGAATTCTACCCAATTAAGGAAGAAATAATACAAATTCTACACAAACTCTTCCAGAAAATAGAAGAGAAGGAAATATTTATCTGTCCTTTATCAAGCTAGCTTTATTCTAATAACAAATTAGGTAAACATAAGAAAAAAGAGATACATATCCCTCATGAACATCATAATTCTAAAAAACATTTTTTTTTTTCTGAGATGGAGTCTCATTCTGTCTCCCAGGCTGGAGTGCAGTGGCGTGATCTCGGCTCACTGCAACCTCCATCTCCCAGGTTCAAGCGTTTCTCCTGCCTCAGCCTCCTGAGTAGCTGGGATTACAGGCATGCACCACCACACCCGACTAATTTTTGTACTTTTAGTAGAGATGAGGTTTTGCCATGTTGGTCAGGCTGGTCTTAAACTCCCGACCTCAGGTGATCCACCCACTTCGGCCTCCCAAAGTGCTGGGATTACAGGCATGAGCCACCGTGCCAGGCCATCAGTTCTAAAAAACTTAAAAAAAAAAATCATCCTTTAGTATGTGAAACAGATAATATATGATGTCCAAGGGCGGTTTATCCTAGGAATAGAAGGTTGTTTCAACTTTAGAAAAATCAATCCATGTAATTCAAGCAGACTAAAGAGAAAACATATATGATTATCTCAATAGCTGATAAAAAAGCATTTGGCAAAATTTAATATTCATGCATGATTTTAAAAAGATAAAATGCTCAGCATTCTAAGAATAGAAGGAAATTTTCACAATTAGATATAGTGTGTCTACAGCAAACCTAAAGCTATCATACTTAATAGTCACATATTGAAAACTTTCTTCCTAAAATTAAAAAAAAAAGCAAGATATCTCCCCTTACCACTCCTAACCAGTATTGTACTAGAGCTCTTAGCTAGTGAAATAAGGCAAGAAAAAGAAATAAAATGACATACAGATTGGGAAGAAAAAAATAAAACTGCCTCTACTTGCAAATGACATTGACTATACAGAAAAATCCCATAGGATCTGTAAGAAATGTTATAAAAATTTTAATTTGGTTTAGCAAAATTTCAGGATAGAGGTCAATATACAAAAATCAATTACATTTCTATATACTGGCAATGAGTAATTAGAAAATGAAATTTTAAAACCAGTATCATCTACAATAGCATCAAAAGCTGAAATATATAGCTATAAATCCAATAAAATATGTGCAAAATCTCTATGTTGAAAACTAAACAACACTGACATAAAAAACGAAAGAATATCTGATGCTGTGAATTTGGTCACCTGGTTCCAATTCCATGTCTTCCTCTTTACTTACTATGTAAATTTGAGCAGTTTCTTTAGTTACATTGTATTCCTCTTGCTCATTTGTAAAATTAGACTGATAGTAATAACTACATAATGAGGTAATGTTACAATATGTGTCTAATAGAGCACCTGGCATATCATGAATGCTCAATAAATGTTATCTCTCTTTATTTTTATTAAAATGACAGTGTGTATAAAGTCAGTATTTTACTGATTTTGCCCAATGTTGTTTCCACAAGGGTGGTTCTTTTAAAATAAATCATATATGTCATGCTTTTGCATATGTGGCAGTCATGAAAATGCACCATGTTGGTCTGCTGCTTCAGAAGCATAACTGACTTATGGCCCAACTGCTGTCCTTTGTGACGCACCACCACCTTTATGCTAAATCCATGCTTCCTGCCAGCTCCCCCGAGCCAATGACTCAGTGCAAATGCCTGAGTTTCCCTGGCAGAAGCTAGAGGAAAGCATAAAGAGGTGAGATGTGCTAGAATGGATATATTATGTGAAACCTGGACACTAACCAGAGGAGTATGTCCCACAGGAAGGCCCATTCACCAAAACATCAGGCCTCATCTATGTTCAGTGGTTGCTGTCACAGAGCTAGGTAATTAATATTCATGAGGATAGTAAGGCCTCAGAATGAGAGACCAAGTGGCCAAGCTTAACCACTAGAAACCCAGAGTCCACAGTTACTGTAACGACCGGGAAGATCAGAGGCATCAAAGGGGCTTGACCTTCAAGGAGGTGGAGGGATGGATACTGGAGCATGGCATTCCCACAGGCAAAATAGATAAGGGCAAACAAGGCTGACGCTTAACATCTACAACGAGAAAAGGCAAGAAAGGAGGGGCAAGAGGCTGACAGCAATTGCCCCAGTAAAAAGTCAGGATACTTTCCTCAATTCTAGGAACTGAGCCAATTTTCAGGTCCAAAATCCATTGACTAAAAAGACAGCCAGGTCCCTAAGAATAAGTACCCTGCAACACTGCAACAAGTTTATATCGAGATGACTTGTCCCATCCTTCCCTAAAGGGACCCACGACCATTTGCTTAGGTGACTGTATGCCAGGGAAAGGGAAGGTCTAGACTATTGCACACAAGTTCCGAGTTGACCTTGACACCCGGACCCCTTGTTGAAGTGGGGCCTTATAAGAATCAAGTAATGAATGGAGTCCTAGCTGGGTCTGGCACAGAGTGGGCCCACAGAACCTGTAGACTCACCCAGGAAGCATTTCTCCATTTCCATGTATCACTGGAATGAATGTACTTGGCAGTTGGAGTAAACCCTATATTTGTTCCTTGGTCAGTGAGGAAGTGCTATCATAGTGGGAGAGGCCAAATGGAAACTCCGAAACTGTCCCCCAGGCAAGATGGTAAATACAAAATAGGGATTGGTCGTCTCTATCATATCTCTTTTTAATTGCTAGTCTCCCCCAGCAGGAAGTGGATGGACTCTGAAGAATGACAACAGATGAGTACAGTTTCAATCACATGGTGGTCGACTGCGGCTGCTGTGCCAGAGGTGGGATCACAGCTGGAGCACATTAAACAGGCCGCAGGCCCGTGGCATGTGGTTGTCTATTTGGTGAATGTGCCTTTTCTATCCATATTAGAAAAAAAGATCAGGAACAATTCACATTCACGTGGACAGACTCCAATATTCATTTATTGCTTTGCCTCAGAGCTATCTTAACTCAGCTGCCCTTTGCCATAATAGTCTGAAATAATCTAGATCACCTGAACCCACGGAACATCAAACCCATCCACTGCATCAATGACATCATGTTCATTGGCCAGAAGAAGCAAGAGGTGGCTAGTATGCTGGAGGTCTTGGTAAAACACTCATGCTCCAGAGAGGAAAAGATGAATGAGGATTTAAGGAATCCAGTGGTTAGGTTCATGCTGGAATATTCCCTCCAAAGCAAACGATAAATTGCTGCATCTTATATCTCATACCTCAAAAAAGAAGTGCCTGGTAGGCCTCTTTGGGTTCTGAAGGCAACTCATGCCACACTTAAGACTGCAGTTCCAGGCCAGGCGTGGTGGCTCACGCCTGTAATCCCAGCACTTTGGGAGGCCGAGGCGGGCGGATCACGAGGTCAGGAGATTGAGACCATCCTGGCTAACACGGAGAAACCCCATCTCTACTAAAAATACAAAAAAAAATTAGCCAGGCGCGGTGGCAGGCGCCTGTAATCCCAGCTACTCAGGAGGCTGAGGCAGGAGAATGGTGTGAACCCGGGAGGCGGAGCTTGCAGTGAGCCAAGATAGCGCCACTGCAGTCCCGCCTGGGCGAAAGAGCCAGACTCCGTCTCAAAAAAACAAAAAGACTGCAGTTCCAGCTCACAAATTGGGCAACATGATTATTGGCAGCTTTGAGTTGTGCCTGAAGCACAAAAAGGCTAGAGATGCAGGTCTGTCACCTGTGAAAGGGGAGGGAGAAGGAGGGTTAGTTAGGAAGAGTCTCAAACTGCAGTGCTGTCCTGCAAAAGTCTCAGCCAGCCCAACAGAGAGCTCCAGAGCAAAGGCTGCCTGTTGGAGAAGTTCCATGATGAACAGAAAGGGCCAGGCCCTGGCACGCCCACTGTGCTCATTAGCTGTTAAAGGTCTGCCTAGGAAAAGCATGGCCTCAGCTCAACTGCTGTGGCTAAGCAACCAGAGGCACTGCAACCAAGGCCATCACCTAACTGCACCCTCACAGCTAATCTACAAGTTCTTTCTTGAAGGGAGATCATAATAGCTCCATATCCCCATATTGGAGAGAATTCTCACTCTGCATTCTGCCAAGGAGCTGGTGTGTGTGTGCGTTTGTGTGTGTGTGTGTGTGTGTATGCACACATGTGACAAAGGTTTATTTAACTTATCAATGAATGAAGAAGGAGAAGAAAAATTACTATATATAGTCAATGAACAAAAAGAATGCTGGAATAAGACTGCAAGTGAAGTTGAAACTGGTAAATTATAAAACAACACAACTATAATCTGTAGGATTTATATTTCCTACTGGACAGAAATGAATTGCAACATAATGATCCTCCACAAGTTAACATTAACTTTACAAGAGTCTCACCTTCATCAATAGCAAATAATCAAAGTAACTTTCTTCCTGTAAAACTTCCCAACTGGGGGAACATTTGCCCTCTCCTCACCCCAGAGATATCTGACAATGTCTGGAGACATTTGTGGCTATCGCAACTAAAGGGATGAAGGTGTGCTACTGGTGTCTGGTGGGCAGGGGCCAGGGATACTGCTAAATGACCTATTACGCCCTGAACAGCCCCCACGGCAAAGAATTACCCAGACCAAAATTTCAATAGCGCCAAGACTGAGAATCGTGTACAGATGACACTTTTGACAGCTTATTAGGCAATGCTCTAGTATGACACCGAAAGGGCGTAAGAAGATCTTTAATGTTTCCTTCTGCTTTCACTTAAATGTAAAATTGGGATAATGATATATCGAAGCAACTTCATTTACGGTGAAGGATGATTAAATAAAACAATTGTGGTTGATTGTATTTTTACAAAGATGATGCACAAATATATATCCCATCCCACATGCTCTTCTTCTGACGTGACACTGACATTCCTGTATTGAGGGGTGGAGGCTATGTTCCCTTCCCTTGAACCTGGGTAGACGTTTGCAATTACCTCTATCAACAGAACACAGCAGAAGTGACATTTCCTGACCTCTGAGGCTGGATCATAAAAAGCAACACGGCTTCCTCCTGGCTCTCTTTCTGGGGACACCACCTTGGATGTTCTGAGCCAACATGAAACAAGTCTGGCTATGCTTGAGAAACCCTAAAGAGGGACTACATAGAGACAGAGAGAAGCTCCCACCCCAGCCTGTCCAGTCTTATCAGCTCAGACACCAGACACGGGAGCGAATGAGGCTTTACAATAACCCCAAGTACTGTCTGATTGCGATCTCATGTGAAAGAAGCCTCCAGGCAGAACCACCCGACAGAGCTCCTTCTGAATTCCTGGCCCATAGACACCGTGGGAGATAATAAATGATTTTGTTGTCTTAAGCTTCTATATTTTAAGATGATTTGTTCCATAGCAACAGACACTAAAACAACCATACAAAAATAGTCCTTAGCACCCTGCATGGAAAGTGAGTTAACTGGTCACTCTTGTGGGGTAGTTTTAGTATTTTTAAGTAATATTTATGTAGTATTTTTACTGTTTCCGTGCGCAAGAGGGCACACTGTCCGTTGACAGCCCTCATACATGGAGGTGTAATTTTCTAATCAAAGCACCAGGTGGAGCCAACCCCTAATTTTTCACTGTCCCTTTCAGAGGGTGAACTTGACAAAATGGAAAAAAGGCTTCAGAATCAAACTAGCATGTTTAGGGCGATGTGTTAGAGAATGCTCAGTATTCTAAATTCTCAAATTCTAAAACACAAGGAAGCTTATTTTGATGAATAACTCATCCCTAGGCAGGGTGTACGCACAAAAAACAAGAAAATCCTTTTTTTTCCTTTGTTAAATGCAACAGAGAAGGTTATGCTTTCTTTAAACCCTGAAAAGGAAAAGAGATCTGCCAGCCTATGATTTCTAAACAATACTGTACTTAATTTTTGCCATTATCTAGACACATAGCTAATGCAAGTCTCTGTTTGCTGTTTGCTTCTGACAGTAAGACAATATTTCTGAATACTGATTTATGGGACTCAGATAACATCTGTACCACAATTTTAGCTTAAACATTTTTAGGTTTACATGTTTTCTAGTCCTTTATTTTGTATACACGAATTTAATGCTCTAGTGGCTGTGAAAATGGGCCATGATTCCGATTGCAGGAAATCTGGGAACCAAATCCCTTAAAATGAATTGGGTGAACCAAATACATTGTATCTCCCTCTTGTCAGAGAAATTCAAAGCAGACTCTACCCATCAGCATTCACTGTAACCTGAGCAGGTTGGCAACCCGTCCTTATTATGATGATCTGCCAGTGCCTATGTAACTCCTGAAGGCTGATGCCTCTACCCTGAGATGGCTCAAGGATGGTTAGGGCAATAGAGCAGTGGTCTTGAGAATAAAGATGGTTTTGTGATCCGCTTATCTGATTAGAGGTTTATACTATAAAGTCAAGGCTTCATAGCCTGGTAGGGGATAAATCAAATGTCAGAAAGGATGGAGGCAGCTTGAACTCTGAAGAGCTGATTTTCTGAGGGTATCCTACAACTTTGACTCCACCCATACCCTAGCTGACCTGTCATCTTGCTAATTAACCACAAGAACTGAGGGAGAAAGTAAGGTGTGATCAGCTCAAGTAAGGCGTGATCAGCTCAAACCCTATCTATCTTATGCTGGGACTAACACAAAAGAAAGCCAAACACAATTATATGGTAAATCAGTAGAATCATGTTCCTACCTAACGTGTGTCTGTCAGGGATGAGACTGATTCCCATGCTTAACTTATGGCCCTGTCTCATCACTTTGTGCTCATAGAATGTATACGTGACATATTTTTCTTTGACACACTAGTACTGGCAAAGGCTGTCTTCTTTGGCTTAACCACAAATTGTGGAGCATGAGAGCCTCAGAACATCTCCAATCTCTCCCAGCTAGTTTCGGAAATTCCCAGGGACAATTGTGCACATGCTCTCGAGAAGTTCCCCTGGATCCTCAAAACAGCCTTGTGAATCCACAGTAGCTATGGTGACAAGCCTGCTGCAACTCTTTAGAGGGTACTTGGCTGGGTCCCACAGTCACTGATACTGACAGCAGGATTTTCGGGTCACTACTAAGCACTTCCCACAAATGGCCATGACCTCATTCCATGCACTTGGTAGCCTGTCAGTGCAGTGGCTAGAGTGTGATGAGGTAGGCAGGGAGGCAGCCTCTGTCCCTGTGACTATTATCCTCCATTGCTAGGCTGTCTTCTTGGGGCTCATCTCCTTAGGGTCCTTTATCATGTCTATGAGGGCCTGTTCAGGCATACAGCAGTATGAGCAGCCATTCGTACTACCCAGTCTCTCCAAAAATGACGAAAAACCATGTTTTGTGGCCCAGATCTGTATACTCTACCTGGGGATGACTTCTTCCTCATAAGGCATTCACTCCTCAGGCAAATAACATACCATGGTAAGCCCACCCTATTGCCCTTGCACCTCCGATGCACCCACATTAGCAGGCTCAGCCCATGCTAGTTCCCAAACTGACCTTGGATTGTTCAAGCAACTTTAAACCCAAACCTACAAAGCTGGTGTGCAGCTCACAGTTTGATGACTATGTAAATTACATCCTGAAATGTCTCTACTAAACATGTGACTGGACACATCTGAATTTACAATGGGCACACGGCATCTTGGTTTCATAGGTGAAAGACTCTGAATAAGTACCTTTTTGGCAATAGTTCAATCTGAAGTGGATTAAGGCAAGATTTAGAATCTTTAAGCAGGGTAGTACTTTTTTCAAACGGGCATGTTTCCAAGGGATGGAGTCACTGGATGGAGTTTCCCAGCATGGCAGCCCTTCTCTGGTGGAGGCAGCTTGCTGAGATCAGGAGGGATGTTCAAAGCAGAAGCCGGCTCGAAGGTTCCGCTCATTTTTATAACAAATTAGCATAGTTCACACCCTCCCCCTCTACATGCCAATGTTAGAATGATCTCATAGGCAGGCCAACTCCACCCTTTTCTGTACCTCTAGACTTCCATTCAACTCATAGAGCTATGCCTTCTTCCTGTACTTTTGCCAAACCAGGCCTTGCAAAATTATTCCATCAGTCATGGGTGCTAATGAACTGGATCAGAAATTGACCACCTGGATACAGAGAGTTTACTCAAGGATACCGGAGTCATCTTTTCCTTACCTGGCCCCTTTGCTCACATTAGTTCTCTCGTCTCTTTAAAACAGTAATCAAACTGGCCGGGCACGGTGGCTCACGCCTGTAATCCCAGCATTTTGGGAGGCCGAGGCCAGTGGATCACCTGATGTCAGGAGTTCAAGACCAGCCTGGTCAATATGGTGAAACCCCATCTCTACTAACACAAAAATTAGCCAGGCGTGGTGGCATGCGCCTGTAGTCTGAGCTACTCGGGAGGCTGAGGAGAAGAACCACTTGCACCTGGGAGGCAGAGGCTGCAGTGAGCCGAGATTGTGCCGTTGCACTCCAGCCTGGGCGACAGAGCGAGACTCCGTCTCAAAAAAAAAAAAAAAAAAACACAGTAACCAAACTTTGCTTCACTGTGGTTTGGTAAAGTGGAGCAGGTGTCTACCAGTTTTTCATGCAACCTGCCCAAATGGCCCTTTCAAACTCTAATGGTGTGAGAAGCTCAGCTCTGGTAGGGGAGTGTACATTTGGTATTTCTCCCCTGCTGCTTACAAGTTCAAATGCTCTGTGCACTGACAGCAGCAGGAGGAGGAAAAGTTAAACATGGTGATGTTTACTAGAGGAATCTGTCCTCTGTAGTTGTAATTAAGAGGTTTGCTAGACCATATGGGACTGCTGACCAAGTACTAAAGCAGCTATGTCAAACACAACACCAGTGGTTTTATTTACAGCCAGGAAACCAGTGTGTTTCACGTGCTATCCCAACAGGGACCATCTCCACATCTTTAAAGAACAATGTGCCGATAAAAGAAGTAGAACGAAGGATTGCAGCCCCCCCAGCCCCCCTGAGCCTCTCTGCCTTCTGGTGACAGAAGCATTTTAATCGTCACCACCTGTAGAAAATGTTCTCTTCCTGGTTGCCTAACCCGGAGATCCAGCAGTTGGAATTCCAGACAGGAATTCTATAGTGTGGGATGGAGAAGTATTTGGAGATGATGTGGTCGCAGTTATCTCTCAAGTTATTCTGGAGAGGCCATTTTCTCTCTTCCTATACTTGTGTTGCCCTATTCCCAGTTTTACTTCACAATGTTTTGAGGCATGTCTATGAGGCCCCAATCCTACACCCACGTAATCTCTCTCTACACTGCCTTTCTCTCCCTAACCCTGCGGCTACAGCTCCCCACACCAGTAGGCTCAGCCCACACTAGTTCCCAAACCAACCTGGGATTGCGTAAGCAACTTTAAACCTAAACCTACAAATCTACTGTGAAACTCAGAGTTTGATGACCGTGCAATGACCCCAGTTCCTGGCTGCCATGTTACATCCTGAACCCTTACTACAGATTTAACTGGGATGGGATATCCCCGAGGTATCCATCAGGATCCAGCATCCATAATAATAGTTGCTCTCCATGGGGAATTTCTGCTAAAAGCAATCCTCTAATCCTGACAACAGAGACTTTCACCATCTTTGTCTTAAAAGATGAGGATGCAGGGGCCTGAAAGAGGCTATGTAACTTCCCCAAGTCAGTGTCAAGCTGGGACTGGAAGATGAGTATTCTAAAAATTATACACTGTGAGCTGTGATTCAGCCTCGAGGGACTCTACTTGCAACCACTGTCTGGTCTTCCAGTTTGAAACTTGTTCTGAGCTTCCTCTTCTACCTGAGTCTCCAACCAGGTTCCTCCTTGAAAACTGAGTTAGCTAGGTGACCAGGACCCTGTACCCCAGGTTCATCTCACCTGGCTTTCTATCGTTCACCAGAATTTCTTACTGCAATGTTCCCCTTCTCTTGGGACACATGACTGCTTAACATAGGCTTTTAATGTGTGGCTCCTTGTCTGTGAGAGTTGGGAGCAAAGTAGGCCACGGGCATGAGGAAGGCGATATTGTAGCAGCCTTGCTATCAGGGTCAACATGGTGCAGGCAGGCATTCGGTCCTCTGCAGCCCTGTAGGGCTGCAATGCGTACCCTCAATGACTCTCAGCACACACGTGTGCACACACCACACACACAACCCGATACACACATGCACACACTCCACACACACACACACACTCAAACATACCACACACACCACACACACAACCCGATACACACATGCACACACTCCACACACACACACTCAAACATACCACACACACAACCCGATACATATCACATACACACACTCCACACACACACACCACACACACAACCCAATACACATCACATGCACACACTCCACACACACTCACACAAACATACCACACACACCACACAACCCAATATACACACACATATACACACCACATATACACCACACAACCACATACACACCACACACATCATACACACACCACCCTAACACACCATACACACACAACCCTAATGCAGCAGCAAGTTGGAGGACAGAAAGACACATACATATACACACCACACACATATACACACCACACACACAAAACCCTACACACATCACACAAATATACATATACACATCACACACACACCATATACATACACAACCCTACACACATCACAAACCTATGCATACATACACATACCATATATACCCACACACACAACCACATACACAGCACACACACAACACATCATACACACACAACACATACACACGACCCTACATACATCACACACACATGCACATATCACATATGCACCGCACACACCATACACATACACATCACACACACGACTCTATACACATCACACACATAAATACACATATACACACCACATACGTACCACACACAACATACACAGCACACAGCACATGCATCATACAAACACATACACACACATACCACATACATAGCATATACGCTACACACACATACACACATGCTATGCACGCACATAGACACACACACACCCTTTCTTCCTAGATTCCCAAGTCTTACACTGCACCGCCACCTCTCCTGACAGGCATAGAGGGCTGACTGTATTGAAGCCCGGCTGCAATGAAAAAACCTGGTTCCCTTGGTGGCTGTGACAACAGCATCATCAGGCATCTAACCAAGGCAAGTGCTGCAGTCGATGTTCCCGAGTATTCCTCTCTAGATATAAGCTCCTTTGCTTCTGAAGCAATCTCAAAACTCCTTTACAGTCTGGTTCAACAAATTCCCACACTTGTACAATGTTTAGTCCATAAGTACTGAACATCAAAGCCAACAGAAAACCCTAGGCGTAGGTCTGTCTATTCAGAGATTATCTCAGTTGACAGCAAGTGAATTGACCCATCCAAACCACTGGGTTCCATGACAAATTCTTCTCCAGTACCTAATATCTTCGGGATAACGCATTCATTCGCTGAACAACTCTTTGCTGATTGCCGGTGTTAGGTCACTGAGGGAGACACACATCTATGACTCATGTGACCTCAGCCCTCCAGGACCTACCTTCCAGTTTGCTGGGTGTCATAGCAGATGCAGTAGGCAGACTGCTCGGACCAGCTCCACATCCATCCTCCATTCACAAGAAAGGCTTCTTGCTGTGAGTATCTGCAATTCTCTGCTGGGGGGATTTTCTTTACTGGCCAAGTGTGCCTGCCCTGAATGCAGGACAAAATGGAAATGCTCAAGAATGATTTTCCCTGGAATCCCTCAAATAAATAATGGGCAAGGCATTGGTGAATACACATTGGAGCCTCCCTGACCTTGGCTGGGATAACTTTGTTCCACATTGCCTCCAGTGGGATTGAGGTCTAGTCCTCCATATCAGTAACTGAACTGATAATTCATCCTTAATTGATTTTCTTTGCCTCCCACTTTTACTAACCCCCTCCTCCACTGATGATTACTGGGATCACCTCTCAGCTAAACTACTCAGATTTGAATCCTTGTCTCAGAATCAGCTTTCAGAGGAACCCCGACTAATTAAAGGGCTAAAATACATGTATAGATAGTTATAATTCTAGAAGAAATGAGGTAGATGACATTAGAGTGCTTTATTTAAAATCCTGTAAGAGTTCACAGGAAGAGTAAATTACTTTGAGTTCGGAAATTAGAAAAGACTTCTTGGAGGACAGTCCTTAAATGGGGAGTAGGATTTGGGTGTTCAGTGATGGAGCAAAAGACACTCTGAGTGGGGTTGGGTAAGTGGAGGCATGACAGCAGGAATTGAGTATGGCATGTTTGAAAACAGTTCAGTCTTACAGAAGCATTTTATAAAGGAAAACAGCAGCAGAGGAGCCAGGTAAAGATAGATTTTAAATCCTAATGCCAAGGTCAGAAATGTTTATCAAGCTATCTAGCACAGCTCTATCCAATACAAATTTCCAGAATGATGGAACTGTTCTAACAATGAGTTGTTCAAAATGGAGGCCACTAGATACAGGTGGCTATTAAGCATTTGAAATATGGCTAGTGCCACTAAGAAACTGAATTTTTAATTTAATTTAATTTAATTTAATTTTAACGAACTTAAGTAGTCAAATGGCCAAGGACTGCTATTTTGGACAGTAGATTTCCGGGCAATGCAATATGACAGGATCAGAAATATGCTTCAGGATAAGTAATCAGAGAACTGACTCTAAGATCATATGGGAGGTGATCTGAAGATAGAGACCGATGATGAGGCAGAATCAATAACTGGGTAAGTGTCGTTTCTTATTAAAGTTGAAAATGAAAATATTTTCTTCAAATAAAAAAACAAACACATAAATAAAACAGATGAAAGTGGAGCTAACCTTGCTAAAATGAGGAGAAGTCCTTGAGGAATCTCCCTGGAAATCCCAAAAGCTGCTCAGAACTCAGCTCATTAACCACTAGGCCAAGTCAAAGGTGGTGAAGAGTTCTACCAAGGTAATAAAAATGAAGAGGAGGAATAAATCTGGGAGACGTGATAGAAGTGAAGTTAATCTCTCTTAGCAACTAATTACGTATAAGAAGTAAGCCTTGAATATCTGCACATTTATTCTCTTATTCACCTAAGCCCAAACCCTGGTGTTATCCAAAATTCTTCCCCATTACTCAGTCATCACAAATATATTCTTCCCCATTACTCAATCGTCACAAATATACGAGGTGAACAAGAATAAAGCTTATTGAACAAAATTAACATACACAGTGTGACATAGATAGTATTGAGAAAAATCAGGACTCACATCCAGGTTCATTGATGAAAGGCTTTCCCTAGGGTTTCCTGCCCACCCCCAGGATAATGCAGTCATAGGAGCCAAGGTAGGGGCCTTTACAAGTAGGGTTGTCAATCAATAGTTTTAAACACAGCAGCAAGTTGGGGGAGAGAAAGACAAATGGATATTAAAGTTGGGAGTTAATTTCAGTTAGAGTTAAGGGAAAGAAGGTAGGCTCTCAGATGTCAGACTGCTAGGATTTCAGGGATATGGTAAACAAATGAAGTATAAAAAAAGTGAAGATGCAAAAGTGAAGGCAATGAATATAAACTACTCTTTAGCTCTTTGGTAAATGGAAGAAAAGGATGGAATACCCTGGGAATACTCAGCAACCTGCTTGCTGACTTGCATTTTCTTCGTCTGTGAAATCTTAAAGTATCAAGAACACCCAATGTCTTTTCTTTTTTCTTTTTTTTTGAGACAGTTTCTCTCTTGTTGCCCAGGCTGGAGTGCAGTGGTGCAATCTCGGCTCACTGCAACCTCCGCCTCCCAGGTTCAAGCAATTCTCCTGCCTCAGCCCCCTGAGTAGCTGGGATTACAGGCATGTGCCACCACATCCAGCTAATTTTGTACTTTTAGTAGAGAGAGGGTCTCTCCATGTTGGCCAGGCTGGTCTCAAACTCCCGACCTCAGGTTATCTGCCCACCTCGGCCTCCCAAAGTGCTGGGATTACAAGCAAGAGCCACCGCGCCTGGCCAACCCAATGTCTCTTCAAAGAAAGTCCTTGGTCATCTGTCACTTTACTTAGAACTAAGTGGCCTCATCATCAGATTGATAGGACCAGAGGTAAACCACTGAGGGAGCCATCTCTTTTAGGCTTACTTGTGAGAATGGAACAGCCTGGTAGAAGAGCTCTTCCCAATAGAGGCAGGGTGCACTGATGGCCAATTGCCCAGGGAACTCGCCCTCCCCGTCAAGGAGTTGGAACCCCCCAAAGACACCAGAGAGTTGCAGGTAGCAGCAGGGAAGGTAGAGGCAGAGACATAAATGGGGGATCACTTTGTCTCCTCCAGTCACCTGAAGCAGAGAACAATAAATTTATTCCCTGAAGAAACAAGATGACCAGATGCGTGGAGCTTCATGGTGTCTTGAAGGATGTTGCATTCTCCGCAAAGCTTTGCTGAAAGTGGTTGAGATCTTGTCTTCCTTATCTTCTCTTGCATCCTTATGAAAAAAACAGAACACAACATCTGTCTTTTGCATCTGAAAGAACATAGCCAAGGCATGGGATAGTCCTGAAGACAGTGAGGCGAAAGTCTTGATGCCCTTCAAAAAGTAATCCTAGAAAATTCTCATAGGGCAAGCCTCTTTCAAAAGATTCTCTAATGGCCATAGGTGCAATGGTCTCATTTTTGAGAAAGTACAGAAATTTTAGGTTTACTCACAGACTCTGGAATAGTGCCCTCTGCCCTACAGAATAGCTTTAACAAACAAATAAACAAACAAACAAACCAGAGTCTTGCTCTGACACCCAGGCTGGAGTGCAGTGGTGTGATCATAGCTCACTGCAGCCTTGAACTCCTGGGGTACTACAGACCCACACGTCACCATGAGCAATCCTCCTGCCTCAGCCTCCCACAGTTCCGGGATTACAGGGATAAGCCTCCATGCTGGGCTTGGAATGGCTTTATTTTAAAGAGACCAAGGTTACAGATAGCTGAAAAGTACAACTTCAGTCCTTTGCAATCTTTTCTAAACATAGCAGGCTGAATCTTCCCTTTTAGTACTGGAAAGATAAATTAATGAAAAGTCAGTACTTGAAAGAGAAAAAAAAATCCAATGACTCTGGAACGGAAAGCAACCTTGGAGATTATTATCTGAAGTGTATCTCTTCCAAAATTTATATGTGGAAGTCCTAACCCCCAGTTCTTCAGAATGTGACTGTATTTGGAGATGGGGTCTTTAAAGAGGGAATTAAGGTAAAATGAGTTCATGCAGTGGGCCGAAATCCAACCCGACTGGTGTCCTTATAAGAAGAGAAGATGAGGACATAGACATAACAAAGGGAAGACTGTGTGAGGACACAGGGAGAAGATGTCATCTGCAAGCCACGGAGAAAAGCCTCAGGAGAAACCAGCCCTATCAAAGCCTTGAGTGAGGAAATAAATTTCTGTTACTTAGGCTGCGCAGTGTACAGTACTGTGTTACCGCGGCCCGGGCAGGCAGAGAGCATGCAGCCTAAACTTTTCACTTCACTCTTGAAGAATGTGAGTTCAGAATCACACTGCATGTATTAGCACTAAGTGCAAGCCTCAAGGGTCTCCAATCTCAGCCTAGAGGCCTTCCCACTTACCATACCCCTGACAAAGGATGCGGTTTTCCAGAAAGGAGAGAGGATGATAGAGAGAGCAAAGACACAGGGACATTATCTTAGTTAATCATGAGAAAAGAATGGATGGGAAAATGACTCCCTGATCCCACAGCTTCATATAAAAGCCTGAGACTCTTGGGCTACCTTCTTCTTAATGACTTCTGCTTGTTTTGCATTCTTATGCTCACCCCTAGCTTTGTTCCTAGCTGGGGCAAATGACTGGTTGCAAACATTCCAAAGTGACTTCAGTATGAATTTTAACTATGTGAAGCCAAGTTGGACGAATGGACCTAAACTTAACCAAGAAGGTCTTATTCTTTCCTTTGGTGTTTGTATCTCTGATCTGTTGATTCTCTTCCAGCACCTGCTTTCATGAGAGAAATCCAGGGCCGCTGGGAAATTTATGAGGGGATGTGCGTTTAAGTATTTACAATTACATTTTATTTTAGATTTGGTTTCTGTTGTTTTTTTGCAGCAAATTTTTCTTAGTTTTTTTTTTTTTTTTTCAACACTGTGTCCTCAGAATGTCAAACTAATTTTCTCTGTCAATCCTCTGTTCGTTTCAGATGACAAGCTTTCAAAAGCACAGCTCTTTTAGTTTTAGGGAAACTTAAAGCCTCATTGTCTTGGGGCCTTCCTGTCCCCCGCTATACTGTTGTTGTTGTTGTATCCCAGGGTGTCCTAAATCTCTGATTTCCACCCCCCTGAGTGGTTGTCTTCCATGTATTTTATTTAGAGATAAGGCCAAGCCTTTGAGTTTGAATGAAGCATGGCTAACTGAGCTTAGTTTGTTGGGAAGTATCTCTGGATCATCCTGATGTCCCAAAGGAAGGAGAAAATGGCCAGACACTATTTCGGCCTCTGTCAAAAAACTCATCATTTTCCCCATGATGCTATGGGTGAAATTCAAGCTTCTCCTCTTCGTTTCCATGGATTCATGTAATTGACACAATGCCAGGCATTGTGCTGTGAGTCTGGTAGCTTGTGACCTAGATTCTGCCTGTCACAGATACCAATACATGCAACGGAGACCACCAATCCAGTCTGCACAAATTATCTGTGGTTATTATGCTCGTGAACACTATAGATCAGAGCTCTGGTGGCCATAAATTGTGCTTCATATTCACTCTTAGTAAATGAGAATCATAAGAATGAGTAACACAAAGGTAGTGCTCACTTAAAAACAGGATCCAAAGCAAAACATTCTAACCAAGGCTTTTACGTTGGAACAATAAAATAGTTTCACTGCCAGGAAGGATGCATTATAGAACAAAATACTGCCTTTAATTGGTGGGTTCTCTTTTCTTTTTCTTTTGAAACACAACTTTAGAGCATGTTTTAATTTAAGTTATAGCCCCTGAAAAATTTTCTCAGTTATAAAATTATCAGCAAGTGATACATGAGTTAAATAATACAAGCTTTTCAAATTAGCTATTTAATAATAATCAATGAGTGCACTTTTTTCCAGCTAGAAATAGGTATTCTTCATTACTGAATTTCTTTTATACCACTATACCAAGACAGGAAAACAGTCCCCCTCCACCTAATTTCTTATTAATCTATGGGTTTCTGCCCCAATAAAGTGAAGCTATCAATTAAACCAAGAAACTACCTTCCTCAGGTTTTATTAATCACAGGCCTTAAGGGAAAGACAGGCAGAGTTCCTGTTGCTTCTATCTGCAATCACTCAAGCTACTTTTGGAGAACTTTCTTCAATGCATGGCTCAACTTCTTGGAACGCTGGAGAGCATTCAGGAAAAGAGAGCAAGTGATAAATAGTTTGGAAATGAAGATCAAAAAGAAAGCATTAGGAGAACTGGGAATGTTTAGTCTAGAGAGAGGGAGAATGAGTAGAGACGTATTTTTTCTTACTGTCATAAACAGGACAAAAGCAATTCTTTTTCACAAAGGGTAGGGAAATAAGAACAAGTGAAAATAAGCATAAGCAAGGAATTTGACTTCTTTTTTTTTGAGATGGAGTTTCACTCTTGTTATCCAGGCTGGAGTGCAATGGCACAATCTTGGCTCACCACAACCTCCGCCTCCCGGGTTCAAGCGATTCTCCCTCCTCAGCCTTCCGAGTAGCTGGGATTACAGGCATGAGCCACCCCGCCCGGCTAATTTTGTATTTTTAGTACAGACGGGGTTTCTCCATGTTGGACAGGCTGGTCTTGAACTCCCAACCTCAGGTGATCCTCCAGCCTCGGCCTTCCAAAGTCCTGGGATTACAGGCATGAGCCACCGTGCCCAGCCTGATTTTTAATTAATATAATATCTTCCTTTAAAAAATAATGGAATGCTTAGAAACTTGGGAAATTATCCTGGAATAGCTTCAGAATGCTATTCTGCAGGTCAATCTAAAGGTGAAGATATAGCGATATCTATCAAGGGGAGTGGAGAATTAATGTCATCCATATAACACAGAGTCAAGAATACTTTGCACGGAGAATTGCAGTAATGACAGTGTTTACTTCTAACATTCATCACACATGGATCAAATGCCTTTTCAGGCCGGACACTGAAGCATTCGTGATCACAAGCACTGTGTGCTCACCACATGGGTACTTTCTATGTGCCTTACACACAAGTTAGTCCTTGCCACAGCCATGTGAAGTAGATGCCATTCTTTCCCTACTTTTGCAAATAAGGATACTGAGGCCGAAAAGAGTTTAATTATTTGCCCAACGTCACACATTGAGGTTACAAATAAAAGAGCCAGGATTTGAACCTGTGTCCTCTGAGAAGGAAACACCAAGACGAGATGAGAGGTGCATGAGCTTTATTGGGAGCCACACCCATGGAGGATAAAGGGAGCAGAAACAGGAGGAGGGGGCTGAAGAAGGCTTCAGACTGAGATTCAGGTGTGAAATCTGTGAAAGGAGAGAGGGAAGAAAAGACTGGGTAGGAAGAGTCTCAGATGACTTCACAGATCTGAGAACGTCTTGACCGGGCCCATGGATGGAGAATCCGGTGAATGGTGGAAACTTGCATCAAGCAAGAATGGTCTAGTTTAGAACCTTCACATTGTTCACTTCTTGGCTGGGAGCAGCCTAGAAGTTTGGGTTGCCATGAATGCTCTGGTGAGGGGCAAAGCAGCATTTGGGGTCTCGGTCTCTTAGTAGGTTCTTATGGAGGGAGGTCTGAGTGGGGCAACACAGAATCCAAGATATCTGGCACAAAGCCATGCTTTTAATCATTCTGGTGGGCTTTTTTCTGTGGGCCACATCCTTTAATGGTGTGTAGTGAGGGATGTAACCCTGTGGTTATGAAAGGTCTAGGTAGTAAAAGGGGATGCTTCATTACAAAGCTCTACGGGGCCCTGTTCACATAGCATACAGCGTCTGCAGTGCCCACTGAGTCCAGCAAGCGGTGACCGGTAGTGAAGAGCTGGATCATAATCTTCCAATCCAAACATACTTGTAAGTTTTGCTCTGGGACACCTTCATCGCATAAACTCTCATAAAACTTCTCAGCCAATTTTTAAATATTTATGCAGCACTTACTAAACACAAAGCCTATCTTAAGTGCAGTGGGAAATACTGTACGAAGACCTAAAAACCTCAACCCTTCCCTCCAGTGGTTTATCCAGTAGGGAAGATGTCACTTCTATAAATAACCAGAGACATTTGAGGACAAGGAAATCACCACATCGGGTACAGATATGGTGCTGAGGAAGTTTAGGGATTAGAGGGCCTACTTCCTGTTGGAAAGATTAGGGAAGATTTCATAAAGGAAAAAAGCAATGATATAGGTTCCTCAAATGCAAATATGGTGCCTGGGACAAGCAATATTTCATGAAATGGTAGGAGGAAACATAAGGCTGTCACTGATGTAGGAAGCCAAACATTAAATGACAATATCATGATTATCATATGTATAAGAAATCTCTCTTTTAAAAGTTCAGACCCCAAGGGAGCTAGAAATCTATTCATCTGTTTCAGTAAATGCAGAAACAAAGGGATTTGCTTTCTCTCTCTAGTCATTTCTTAGGGCCATGATAACAAATTACCACAGAAAGAGTGGCTTAAGGCAACAGAAACTTGCCAGGCGCAGTGGCTCACACCTGTAATCCTAGCACTTTGGGAGGCCAAGGCGGGTGGATCACTTGAGGTCAGGAGTTCAAGACCAGCCTGGCCAACATGGTGAAACCCCTTCTCTAGTAAAAAATACAAAAATGAGCTGGCGTGGTGGCGGGCCCCTGTCATCCCAGCTACTCGGGAGGCTGAGGCAGGACAATACCTTGATCCTGGGAGGAGGTTGCAGTGAGCCAAGTTCATGCCACTGCACTCCAGCCTGGGTGACAAGAGTGAGACTCTGTCTCCAAAAAAACCCAGAAACTTGTCTCACATGCTGGAGGCTGGAAATCCAAGATCAAGATGTTGGCAGGGCCATGTTCCTCTAAAGCCTACAGGGAAGGACCTTTCTCTGCCTCTTACAGTTTCTGGGTAGTCCCAGATGTTCCTTGACTTGGAGAAGTGTCTCTCCAATCTTTGCCCACATCTCAATATGATGTTTTGGTGTGTCTGTATCTCCATGTGGCCATGTTCCTTCTGTGTATTTGTCTATTTGTAAGGACACCAGACCTGTTGGATTAAGGACTCACCCTAATCCAGTGTGACCTAATTCTAACTAACAACAACTGCACTGTGCCTACGTATGTATTTATTTATTTACTTATTTTTGAGATGGAGTTTCACTCTTGTGGCCCAGGCTGAAGTGCAATGGCACGATCTCGGCTCACTGCAACCTCCACCTCCTGGGTTCAAGCCATTCTCCTGTCTCAGCCTCCCAAGTAGCTGGGATTACAGGTGCCCACCACCACACCTGGCTAACTGTTCTGTTTGTATTTTTAGTAGAGATGGGGTTTCACCATGTTGGCCAGGCTGGTCTCAAACTCCTGACCTCAGGTGATGCACCCACCTCAGCCTCCCAGAGTGCTGGGATTACCAGTGTGAGCCATGGTGCCCGGACACTGTGCCTATTTCTGAATAGGATCCCATTCTGTGGTTCAGGGGCTTAGGAGTTCAACATATCTTTTTTGGGGTACACAGTCTGACTCATAACCTTATCCTATTAATTAAACTCTGGCACCATTCTTTGCTGTTTTATGAAATTTAATTTTGCACGAGCAACAGTTTGTTCTTTGGAGTTCCTAGGTACTGAGATGCCTGCAAGGAACACAGGCTTAAAGCCCTTCATCTTCATATCACTAAATTAGTGTACATCTCTATACACTACAATATTGAGACTTCTGAACAAAGTTTTAGAAAAATAAAAATAGTTTTCAGACATTTGACAAAAACAGACATCATCATTGCTTCTTGGTCTTCCCGAACCAGTCTGGACTCACACTCAAACACTCTGTGATTGTTTGCTATAGTTTCAGAGCAGATTCTTCATGTAGAAATATCCAAGGTAAGAGTTGAGGTGCTGTTTCAGGTCATAAGAATCTGTCCTGTCTTTCCTGAGAAACAGAAACAACAAGATGTCCTTTCCTACTCCAGGCAGATGGCGGATACTAGGAATAAGGTCTAGATGCAACTTGGGACAGGCCAATAAACTTGCTTAAAGATGAAGTTATCCACTTTTGACAGATTGTTATTTCCCAACGATTGCCACAGAAAAGCATATCCCATCCCACATGCTCTGTTTATAATGTGAGGCTGGCACTCCTCCATTGAGAAGTGGGAGTTTAAATCCCCCCTCTTGAATATGGGCAGGGTTTAGTGACTAGCTGCTAATCGACAGAATGTCCTGGAAAGAAAGCTAGGGAACTTGCAAGGCAAGGTCATAAAAGCTGATATGGTTTCTGCCTCGTTTTTCTGTCTCCCTTTTCCTCCCACTCCTTCTCCCTGCCCATTTCCCTCTGTTCTCCCCACTCCTCTTTTTCTCTGTCTCTCCCTATCTCTCTCCCAACGCACTCACCTTTGGAGCTCAGGCACAAGTAGAGGCCACACATGGGTATGTGACCCAAATCCAACTACCTTCTTGGCCATCAGCCAGTGTCAGGCTCCCAACAAAGACATGAAGGAGCCTTCAGATTATTCCAGCTGAGCCCCTCGACATTAGGAAGCAGAGATAAGATGTCTGCTTTGTGTTCTGTATACATTCCTGTCCACAGAATCCATGGACTTAATAAGTGGTTGCTTTATGCTACCAGGTTTTGGAGTAACTATTACATAGCCATAGTCACTGGAATATCATATATCCAGCAAAATAACAAGTTGTGAAGCTAGTTTCTTAGGTGTCATATTTGCTGATGTTTCTAGAATGTTCTCCTGACATCTGAGAAAGATAAGCTTTTAGAAGCAAAGGGGAAGGAGCAATAATGCTTAAATGACCTTAAAACCTAAGAAGTTTCAGGCTGTCAACATGAAAAAGCATTTCATACAGATGCCTCTCCCCACAGGTTCCCACGGCCTGGCTACTGCTTCTTAATCTGTGGTGGTCCAGGCAAGCGCTTAATGCCCTTGAAATGAATTAATAACAGTTTCATCTCAGGTAACCACATGTGGAATATTTATTAATCATCTTTACAAAGAGTGTAGCTTGCTAAAAACATGACTCTAATTTGGGGGATTTTAAACTTGTTGGGGTAGCTAACATACTCTGTCTTCCTGTTAAGAAAAAGTGTTCTTTTTCCTTCACTCACTCCTTTCTTCCATTTCCACACCATCCTCCTTAGTTCCTTTTATTTATTTATTTATTTATTTTTTGAGCGGTTTCTATCTGCATACAAAAAGCAAAGATAAGTGAACAAAAGCTAAGGGGGAAGGAATGAACTTATTTTCTATTAAAGTTGGTGTTAATGTGTTTTTGAGTTTATAAATCACTTATTTGTGGACCTTAGAATTTGCCTCCTTTTCTACCTGGGTGTTATTGAATTTTTCAGTTGAAATAACACATTCATCTCAACCTTTCATTTGAAATGTATAAAACCTCCTAATTAAGTGCAATGATGCATTAACATGGAATTCAACAGTTCCTTTTAAATCATGATCTCGACATCTACAAGGTCACCACCACTAATGCACTGTAGAATGATAAATTTTTAAAAGTGAATAAGAACTCAGAGGTTATCTAATTAACCCCTTTATTTACTAGCCACCAAAGTGAAGTTATTTGCCCAAGATTAGAAGTTTGAAGCTGTCTTTAAACTCTGTATCTATCTAGTTCCCATCATCTTATGCATCGGTCTTTGGGAAGCTCATGGAGACAAATGCCTTGTTAGAAAGTTTGAGTTCAGATCTTAAGATTGAGAACAGTGACATTCTGATGGTTGTGGTGGAACGTTGGAGGGAGACCAGAGATAGGACAGAAAATATAACAGTCTGACTACTTACCATTTTCTGTAGTAGTGTCTAATCCTGGAATTCATTTTAACATCATAGTTATGCTTTAAGAAAATGCCACATTTAATATTCACTGTACCCGAACTGTAGCAAAAATGTGCGATTTTCTGTGCCTTCTTTAGATGTTGTACAATGCACTTTCCTGTTTTTTTTTAACTTTTATTTTAGGTTCAGGGATACATGAGAAGGTTTGTTACACAAGTAAACTTGTATCACGGGGGGTTGTTGTACAGATTATTTCATCACCCAGGAATTAATCCCAGTACCCACTAGTTATCTTCTGTGCTGCTCTCCCTCCTCCCACCCTCCACCCTCAGTAGGCCCCAGCGTCTGTTGCTTCCTTCTTTGTGTTCATAAGTTCTTGTCATTTAGTTCCCATTTATAAGTAAGAACATGCAGCATCTAGTTTTTCGTTCCTACATTAGTTTGCTGAGGATAACGGCCTCCAGCTCCATCCATGTTCCCACAAAAGACACGATCTCACTCTTTTTTATGGCTGTATAGTAATCCATGGTGTATATGTACCACATTTTCTTTATCCAATCTGTCATTCATGGGCATTCAGGTAGATTCCATGTCTTTGCCATTGTGAATGCTGCTGCAGAGAACATTTGCCTGCATGTGTCTTTATGGTAGAATGATTTATATTCCTCTGGCTGTATACCCAGTAATAGGATTTCTGGATCAAATGGTAGTTTTGCTTTTAGCTCTTTGAGGAATTGCCATACTGATTTCCACAAGGATTGAATTAATTTACACTCCAACCAAAAGTGTTCCCTTTTCTCTGCAACCTCGCCAGCATCTATTTTTTGACTTTTTAGTAATAGCCATTCTGACTGGTATAAGAGGGTATCTCATTGGGGTTTTGATTTGCATTTCTCTAATGATCGGTGATATTGAGGCTTTTTTCATATGCTTGTTGGCCACATTTTCTTTTATACGTTTTCCTGATGGCTCAATGGGATCTTCCCAGATCCAAGTTTCTCTCTTCGTGTAGTGAAATAATGATTTTAAAAATACACTATTAATTTGTCAGAAGTTGTTCTGTAATTTTTCTAAAAATATAATACATTTTGTTGATTTTTTTCTTTTGTGTGTGTGTGTGTGTTTTTTGTTTCCTCAGCTGAGTTTATATTTAATCAGTCTCTAAACTTAGAGCCATTTCATTCAAGGAAAAAAAAATTATTTTATTTTCAGACATTTCCCAAGGTGAGTGAGGGTCTAAGTATAGGGAATGGCATCCTCTTGTATTTTGGATTACACTTTGAAAAAGCATTAGCAACTTTTAGATCTCATCTCTTCTTGCTTATGAGCTACTACAAATAAGTAGGAGAAACAGATATGGTATCTATGAAGCTCTGAATATGAGAATTAAAGATTCTTCTTTATATCACTGCTATGTGATTTTAGAAATTTTAGAAGATAAATTGTAGCACTTTGATTCAGATTTTATATTTTTATTACAAAAGTCAAAAGATGTGTCTTAGAATACAAGTGTCAGGCTTGGATGTTTCCTGCGTTTGAGAACTCCTGCTCTCATTTGGGTAGTGTAATCAACTCTGTTATTGACGGCTGGCTCCACTTCTGTTAATTACACACCTTCCTGTATCATCAGCCCCACTAGGTCATTCTTTTCAGCATGCTCATATGCTTCACTGTCTCTCATCTTTAAACAGAACATACAAACAAACCAAATCCCTCCTTTGACCCTACATCTTCTTCTAACTGCTGCCTCATTTCTCTACTCCCTTTTCTAGCAAAATTCTCAACAAAGTCACTCATGGTCTCTGGATCCACTTCCTTACCTACTGCGATGGGCTTTTGGTCCCCAGAACTCTTTTTAAAATATTCTTGTCCACATCCCAAAGAACTGCCACATTGTCAAATCCAATTGCCCTCTCCAAGCCCTCCTCTTACCAACCCCTTCAGTATCTCTCCGCACAGCTGATCACCTCCTTTATGGAAACCTCTTGCTTCTTTTCATTTGTATTCATCTGGTTTTCCTCATGCCTCTCTGGAAGTTTCTTATGTTTTCTCTGCTGGAGTCTCCTCTTCAGCTGAACCTCTAATATGTTGGAGTACTCCCAGGACATAGTTCTAGGCCAGCCTCTCTGCCTACATTGTCTCTCTAGTGAAACAGTCTGGTCCTAAGACTTGAGAGGTCAATATGCCAGGGACTCCCAGACTCCTTTTCATCCCTGACCTCTCTCCTGGGCTCCAGACTCAGATACCCAACTCAATATCTCCATTAGGTTCTTTAACTGGTGTCTCAAATATGAAGTAATTCTCTCCTACCTTCTAACCTGTTCCTCCCCTAGTCCTTTCAATCTCAGATAACAGAATCAACTACCCACCCAGGAACTCAATACTTGATTTTTCCTTTCTAATCCATCAGTGGGTCTGGTGGCTCTGTCTTCAAAGCATATTTCAAATCCATCTGCCTCATCCATCTCCACTGCTGTCACACTGATTTCAACCACTGCCATCACTTCCTTGGATGACCACAATTGTCTCTGCATGTCCTTCTGCTTCTACTTTTCCCTCCACAATCCATTCCCACGCAGCAGCCAGAGAGGTGTTTATAAAATATAAATCAGATCTTGTCATTTCTATGCTTGAAAGCATCCAGGTATTTCCTTTCTAAAAGCACTTAAAATACAATGGACAGCTTTCCTCCAATATACAATACTCTAGTTGACTGAGACCCTATGAAACTCCATTTCACCTTGTACCATTCGCTCCCCCTCTCCCTGTATCCCAGCCGTTTTGACTGTCTTTTTGCTCCTCCAATGTGCCTTCCACTTCAGGGTGCTTGCATATTCTTTCCCCTTTGCATAAAGTTGGGCCCTTCTCATTTGTCAGATCTTAGTTTAGATGTCACGGTAGCTCCTTGGAGCAAACTTCTCTGATGACTCTTTCAGAGCAAGTGCCTCCTCTCATCACCATGCCTGGTTCATTCCCATTAAAGCTCTTACCATAATTATAGGCTTATTTTCTCATTTATTCTTGTCCATCCCCCGCAAGAATGTGAGCCCCATAACAGCAAGGACTTGCTTGGTCTTGTTCATCCCTGCATCGCTGCTGCCTAGAACAATGTCTGTCCGCACTAGGCATTCAATAAACATTTGTTGAATGGATCAATCAGTTTTTAGATTACTCAAGCCATTTGTTTTTCCTCGATTGCCTGACAATCTACTTGTTGGCAAAGTATCCCTCTATTAGAGGGAATAACATGTTTCATTTTCACCTTAAACATGTGTTCAAAGAGGACATAGGATTTTAACAGGTTAGAGAGAGATCTTTGCTTTTAAGTCTGAGTTTTAAGTAGTATATCCCTTAATGACAGCAAATAATTAAAGATTAAGTTATGAGACCAATCAGATTTCCACTAGCAAACTTCACCAAATATTTTCTATTTTTTGTCTCTTTTGTGAATTTTATTTTATCTGAATATAAACATAGTCATAACTATGAAAGCTGTTGCTTAAATATAATTTTCAATTGTTGGAATTCTAGAAATGCTACAAAATTCACATATGTGATTATTTCAAATTCATTAATCCCAAGATTATGTGACGCTAACTCTTCTTATTCTCAAGAATTACAAAATAAAGATGGTGATATGGAATGTATTGCTACAATGCCTTGGGATATGACATTGTATCTATAAAACACTGATGTAATGCTATGAGCTCATATTACAAATAGATACTAAATCATCTGTGCTTTGTGGAACATTGTATCTTTATAATATCTTTTGTATATAATTCTAAAGAAAGAATAAAACAAAGTTGCAACTAACAGGTGTGTTGCTTCAAACATACAACTCTTGGCATTCCAACATTCTGATTCCAGGAAATGCCTGCAAAAGCTGGTAGTCAGCTTAAGATAGCACATTTAGTAACAAAGTAATTTTAGAAATCAATTACAGAGGAGAAATAGAAGACATTTTCTGTAATATGCCCTCTTGTTTCAGTATGAAGTGTTGACATTGTTTTATTTTTTAAAGTGAAAGCAAAGGATCTAAAATAAGTATGTTGTGAAAATCCAAAACAAAATATGTTGATAAATTTTAAGGTAAATTTTAAGATACCATGTTTCACACTCTAGAAAATAGAAAAAAATAAAGTACCTCTAAAACGTCTTGGGGGAAAAAAGTTAAATATAAAACTTTGCTGATCAAGATAAAAGATCCAATGTTAAGTACTCTTTTATTGGAAGAAAAAGAGAAAAGAAAGGGCTAAAGAAAGACAGGGTTTGATTAAGAGGTGCCACATCTGAGCTAGTTTAAGTGGTTGAACTCAATCTCTTGAGCTGTGCAATCAGGAAAATCATAGTCAGTGTTTGTTAACCATTTTTCTCTGGGTTTCCATATTTTGCAGGACTCTTCAGCCATGAAAAGCGTGAAAGCACGGTCAGGATTACAGGGACAGCCGGAGCTCAGTGAGGGGCTAAGATCAGAGTGGACTGGCGACGTTGGGACTATTTTCTGGGAGGGGCTGGTCTGCAGGTAAATCCTATTGGATGCACACGGATTTTGCTAGAGAGAAAGAAGTGGGTGGTGAGGAAAGAGTGGGAAGATAGAGACATGTACAAAACAAAAAGCAGTTAGAAAAACTAAGTTAGACTTTCCTACCTCCAGGAAAAAGGGTTTAAAAGGGCACTCCGATGGAAACAGGCAACATTTAGTATAGTCATAGAAGTGGAACGGGATGAAGCTATGGTGGGTTTTGAGCTGCAGCTGGTATGGACAGGCAGTAAGAAGCTACTGGAAACCTCAAGCAAGGGTGGTATCAAGGGGCTGGTGTTTCAGGAAGGGAAACGTTTGTCAGTGTCAGGCTAGTTGCAAGGACATAAGCTTGGAGTCAGTCCTTGATACCACATCTGCAACTAGGGTGTAAAGTGTAGTAAACTGGAGATCTGCATTCTGATGGTAATAATTTTAATAGAGATAAAGGAGTGATTCCAAGAGGCAGTATATGGTATTTTACTTAATTCTTATAATAGTCCCCTCCAAATAGGTATTATTATTCCAATTTAGAGGTAACTGAGTCTCACTGATTTATTAAATAAGTTACTCAAGGTCAAACAGTGGAAGCGAGGTTCAGAACCGGCAGATTCAGTGAGTGGTGGATGAGTATGAATCGAAGTATTTTTATTAGCATGTTTTATAAAACTGATTTTTGTTTTTTATTTTCCTTATTTCTCCTAGGTCTGGGAGCCCAAAATTGGTTTCTGTACATATGTATATCAAAGACAAGTGCGGGGTAGGTAATGCCAAAAGTGAAAAAGGATGGCCAGGTTTTTTTTAGTTTTCATTTTGAAACTAAGTATTTGGTTTTACATAAATCAAAGACGAGTTCCTTAAAATAAACAACAGTCTAATAAAGACTGATAATGGGCGATTACCAGCTGATTAAGGCAAGCGCCCTTCACTAAGTTTGCTCCAAGTGTGTCCCTCTGGGTGGTGGTGACCCTGCGCTGAGAGTAATCGCAACCAGAGGTCTGAAGAGCACCTGCTCTGAGCGATATTGCAGTGCTTTGCAGAACCCGGGCAGCCCACCTGGGTAATTCAGAAGCAGCGCAGAATCCACTTGCAACACCAGGGTGAGAGGGCAAAGCTGAGCTGAGAGTTGAAAATACAGCTCAAGTTTTAGAAATCCAGATTTTAAAAACTGGGAAGCCCTCTTTCTAAAGAAAAACAGAAGCTCGCAGTTTTGTTTCATTATCCACCGGTGCCTTGGAGCCATGAACTTTCCCCCACTTCGGAAACGTCTCTGGAAAATTCATTTCATGCTTGTCTACTCCAGTAAAATCCTTGACTGAACTGTTACAAAACAGGAGACTTGGCCCCAGGAATGTGAGAAATCACCCGATACGGTGGAGCCAGTTGGCATCCTCAAGAGCCCTGGGCTTCTGACCTTGGGTTTACCTGTCATCTTGGACCGTGACCTTCTCCCAGCAGAGGGGACTTTCTGATTGTCCCTGTGCCACGGGACAGGGAAGTGGACAGAGCACATGTATCACATTCTTTCACACCCTAGAAAATAGCCCCTAGCCAAGGGAGGGCTCCCAGATCCCAAAATGCTGAGATTATAGGCATGAGCCACTGTATGTGGTGATTATTTTAGATATATATCCAGAAATGGTATTGCTAGAGCATCTGGTAATTCAATGTTTAATTTTTTGAGGAACCACACGCTATTTTCCACACTGGCTGCATGCACCATTTTACATTCCCACCAAGAGTGCATGAGGGTTCTATCTTCTCTACATCCTCGCCAACACTTATTTTCTAATGTTTTTAATAGTAGCCATCCAAATTAAGATGGCCTAATAGTAGCCGTCCTAATTTTTAAATAGCAGCATTAGTACATTTCTAAATCGCATCTCAGGTGCTTAGAACTGGAAAAGTTTGAATCTTGATTCATGGCACATGCATCACCACTGCATGGGTGCATCTTTCATGTAGTCCAATTTTAATAATATAACAAATACCCGTGAACTTGCCACCTGCTTTAAGAGCCAGGACATCATAATTAGTTCATTATCCATGTGATCCTCAACTAATGCATTCATTTACCTACACCAGAGGTAAACGTGACCCTGAATTTTTACATCTTTGTTTTGAAAATGCTTTTATTATATCTATATGCAAATGTATGTATATCTAAAACATATATTATTTACTTCTGCCTGTTTATGAACTTCATAACAGATATGTGTTTCTCCAGACCTTGGCATTCTCCCAAAGCTCCAGGTGATTCTCCTGCACTGCCAGGGGCCAGCCACTATTGCGGCACTTCCTACCTGGCCTCTGTGCCAGCTGCCTCCTTGGGTCACCTCTGTGAACCATCAGACTGGTCTTCCTTTGGCTGACTTCAGGAATTCTGCTTCATTCAGGCCTGAGGCACAGGTTTTCTGGAAGTGGTTCACCAGCCTCTGGTCTCTGATACATTCACCCAGGGTATCTGTTCTCATCTTTTTCTGGGTCTTAAATCATTCAGGTAAGCTCTTTCCCCACCCCGAGTTTTGGATCTGCCATCCTCTCTCCTGTCTCATGCCCTTTTCAGTATGCTCTTTTGTCCCCTCACCACCTCCATAGTATTTATTCCTAACAATAGCAAAGAAGAGGTAGTGAAGTTGCAAAACCTGGGTACCTGAAAAACTATGTACAGAGAGGAACAAAACATATAATGTTCCCTAGTATCTTTAGCCTCTGTTGACTGGGAAGGCAGAACTGGAGTTTAGAGAAACCTCAACATACAGGAATGGGAGTCCAGTCACTCTTTAACACACAAGCCAGCAAGCACGTCTCACATGGGGATGACATTGGCTGTGTCTCTGAGTATACAACATTTGTTCCCCTCTTCACTACTTCACTTAATGATCACAAATAAGCTGTGTGCTGCAGTGTGGATTAATTCCTTTGATTTAAACAGGTTGCAAAGAGTCTACAGTGAGAGCAAGACTTCCTTTATTCAGGGTTAGCCTGGTCCCCAGCACAAGGAATCAGCTTCTCAATGAGTTCAATTGTCTCTGGGGTTTCTGTCCATGTCCCGGAAAAGCTGTGCTCTTTAAAAGACCAAAGAAGATGATGGACGAAGTGATCTGCTGTGTTTGCCTCTTGGGGAAATCACGAGTCCATGGGAATAGAGTTGGGATATCCCTTCCTGTGGTTCTTCGGTTGTAACATTAAAATTTCCCCCCTCCCAGTCAGGTCTATGTGTCAGAAGTTTTCCAGTTCTACCAAGGCCAAGAACAAATGGACAGACAAGATGAATGAGTTGATATGAAATGTTCTCTACGCCATTACATTGGGGCCCAAAGGTTGAGTCTGCTGAATAAATTTAAAAGATAGCATGGGCAGGGTACAGTGACACACTGTCTTTAAAAAAGACAAAAACAAAAAATAGTATGATATTTGTAAGTAAAAAATACTTTCAGTACTCACAGTGAATTTTTTTTATGGTTCAAATGAAAAATATTGGCGCGGTGGCTCATGCCTGTAATCCCAGCACTTTGGGAGCCTGAGGCGGGTGGATCACGAGGTCAGTTCGAGACCAGCCTGCCCAACATGGTGAAACCCTGCCTCAACTAATAATACAAAAATTAGCCGGGCGTGGTGGTGTGCGTCTGTAATCCCAGCTACTCAGGAGGCTGAGGCAGGAGAATCACTCAAACCTGGGAGGCAGAGGTTGCAGTGAGCCAAGATCATGCCACTGCACTCCAGCCTGGGCAACATAGTGAGACTCCGTCTCAAGAAAAAAAAAAAAAAAAAGGAAAAAGAAAAATATTATAACAGCTTAGAGTTAGAGCTTAGAGTTAGTCTCAGAAAATTAAGAAGGTTCTCATTTGAGAAGCAAAAGTTCACTATTACTGGAGTGAATTGAAAATCAGAGAGTTAATAAAACTGTCTTCTTGGAGACTTCAATGTATTAAATAACATTTAAACATCATTTGTAGGCCGTGTGCAGTGGCTTACACCTGTAATCCTAGTACTTTGGGAAGCTGAGGCGGGTGAATCACCTGAGGTCAGGAGTTCGAGACCAGCCTGGCCAACGTGGTGAAACCCCGTCTCTACTAAAAATACAAAAATTAGCCAGGTGTGGCAGTGGGTGCCTATAATCCCAGCTACTCAGAAGGCTGAGGCAGGAGAATAGCTTGAACCTGGGTGGGCGGAGGTTGCAGTGAGCCAAGATGATACCACTTCACTCCAGCCTGGGCAAAACAGCAAAATTCTACCTCAAAAAATAAAAATAAAAAATAAACATCATTTGTAGGTTTTTTAAATCCCCAAATTCTTTCCTGTGTCACCCAAGCCACCTGCCGACCTGATCCTTAAGGTTTTTAAGCAGTAAAGCCTTTCTCTGTTTCATAAGTTGGGTGGCCCCAGTGCTCCCCATTTCTCCCTCACACATGTGCTCTTCGCAGAAACATGCAGATGTCCTACATCCACACCCATACGGTTGGCCTGTCCATGGCCTGGGTCTAAAAGAAACCCCGGCTTTTAAGGTTGCTGTTTTCTTTTTCCTTTAAATCATTGTATTAATGTTGACTCCAAAGCCCAAACAAATATGATGCCAGGGAGAGGCACAGCAGGGCCATATGAAGGGATTAGATTTCTTTAAATTACAAAAACAGTAAGAGCAGGAGGACTTTAAAGTCAACATTTAATATTGAGCCATGCTCATGTTTTTGCTCCTTGGCTTAAAAAAACAATATTGCCAGAGTTGACTACAAAGCTCCTTAGCAATGTCTGACACAGCTGAGAGAGGTGTGCAAACACCAAGTAGCATCTAAAGAAGGGTCCCCTGCCCTTTGTATCTTGGCCAAGGCTGGAAGTTCTGAGACTCTTGAGAATAATGTTTATGCTCTTCACTCATAGGAAAATAAAGAATAGTGTATTAAATGATATTTTTATTTATTAGTTTTTTTAAAGGTTGTCTTAGTCCATTTGCATTGCTATAATGGAATGCCTGGGGCTGGGTAATTCATAAAGAAAAGAGATTTATTTGGCTCATGGTTCTGCAGGTTATACAGGAAGCACGGTACCAGCATCTGCTCAGCTTCTGGTGAAGTCCTCATGAAGTTTCTACTCATGGTGGAAGGTGAAGGGGGAGAAAATAAGTCACAGGACAAGAGAGGAGGAGGCCAAAGAGAGGGGAAGGAGGCAGCAGACTTAACAACCAGATCTTGCAGGAGCCAAGAGTAAGAACTCACTCCATCTTGTCAGAATGGCATCAAACTGTCCCGAGGAATCCACCTCATGACCCAAACACCTCCCACCAGGCCCCACCTGCAACACTGGGGATCACATGTCAACATGAGACTTGGAGGGGACAAACATTCAAGCTACATCAAAGATTCACTATTCTGAACAAAAAAAAAAAATGAGGATAAGTGAATAGATCTGCCACCAAAACCCTACCCGCAAAATTGTCTCTGAACTATTTAGTCCCAGAAGCAGCAACATCAGCATCACTCAGGAAGTTGTAAGAAATGCAGATTCTCAGGCCCCTGCCTGGACTTGCTGAATCAGAAACTCTAGGGGTGGGGCCCAGAAACAGGTGCTTTAACAAGCCCTCCAGGTGGCTCTGAGGCAAGCCCGAGGCTGAGCACTGTTAGTCTCACGCAATTCACTACGTGAAAGACTGGAAGTGTCTGCATGTAAGCCAACCATAAGGCACTGCTTCATTGCTTACTGATGAGAGATGAACCAATAGGATCTCAGAGAACCTGACCCATATTATTAGCATTTTGTTTGTTTGTTGTTTTTGTTTAATTGAGACAGAGTCTCGCTCTTGTTGCCCAGGCTGGAGTGCAATGGCGCGATCTTGGCTCACTGCAACCTCCGTCTCCCAGGTTCAAGCAATTCTCCTGCTTCAGCCTCCCAGGTAGCTGGGATCACAGGCATGTGCCAGCATGCGCAACTAATTTTGTATTTTCAGTAGAGACAGGGTTTCATCATGTTGGTCAGGCTGGTCTCGAACTCCTGACCTCATGTGATCCACCCATCTTGGCCTCCCAAAGTGCTGGGATTACAAGCATGAGACACCGCGCTGGCCTAACATTTTTGTTTTCATGCCAGAGGAAAAAGAATCAGGTGGAGATGAATACACTGTTTCATTATGTTGTTTTCAGCCAAGGCCCATTGGTGTAAAATATATAAAATCAACTGGGTGTCAAAAAAAGGTAAAAAAACAAACCCACTTAGATGATCTTTTTTTTCTTTGCAATAGGAAATATAACATATTTAATTTTCTTTCTCTTTTTCAGTTAACTGTGAGAAACATAAGACAAAGCCAGGAAAGATAACTCAGTTTTCTATCATGGTTAATTAAGAGAGGCAACAGGTTTTACAAGAGTGCTGATTTTCTTGAAGGGCAAAGACTTTCATTCTATCTCTTTAGTATTCAGCCCACTCCTTAGTTTGAAATAGGTGTCCAATAAACATTCACTGAAATTATGGCAAAAGGTAAATAAGAGCAAGGAAAGAAGTACAAAGACAAAACATAGAAAAACAGCCCAGAGAGAAATATAAACATGAGATAAAGAAAAAAAATGATAGAAACATATACAGAGAGAAAGAAGACAACAAGGGGAAAAGAAAGGAAAAAATGACAGAGGTTAAAAGCAAAGAGATGACACCTTGAGATGCAAAGGACTAAACCGATTTATAAATTATAGGGACAAGGCTCACGAACTTCCAGTTCAATAATCTAGCTAAGGAATGCAACATTTCCCCTTTGAAAAATTATTTCTGAAAACCCTTGTCCCAAAATACTGGCCAATGTCAAAGCCCAAGAAGTAGATTTTTAGGGGCTTTCCCTACTGGGAGAAGCACCTTTTGTCAAATGGAGATACTGGATCTACAATGAGTTGCTGTCCCAGGGTGCTCAAACCAAGGAGGGTGAATAGCTATGAGAAATGGGGCAGATTCTTGTATGAAGAGAAGAGGGGAAGGAGATCTTGGTTCTTTTAAAATATTCCACTTTGCAGAGAATATTTCTCAGAGTTTCAGCTGCAGCTGTTTCACAGACATGTAAGCATGGGAAACATGGCTCAGTGGACCAAAGTCTGTGAATTCTCACCTTGAACCACAATTCACTGCTAACTTCTCAACCAGTCACTATCCTATCTCATGCTTAGTTTTGTCTCTAAAATGGGAATAGACTAATATTATAAGGTGCAGAATAACCAACAAAATTGTTCCTGAGAACTTAAAGATGCAAACAGTAATTACCTTTTAAAATTTGTGAATAGTGTTTTATAGCAGTAACCTAATAGTT
Source organism: Homo sapiens (assembly GCF_000001405.40). Classification (NCBI taxonomy): domain Eukaryota; kingdom Metazoa; phylum Chordata; class Mammalia; order Primates; family Hominidae; genus Homo; species Homo sapiens. The sequence continues at coordinate 11,467,273 of NC_000006.12, read as the reverse complement.
CAAGAGTGATTGTGGGCAGGGTTGGCCTAAGGGAAAAATATGATTTGATGTAAATGTTGACAGCAGACATCCAGTCACTCCAAAGAAGGGATATGATTGTTCAAGAAAAGATAATCAGGGCCGGGCGTGGTGGCTCATGCCTGTAATCCCAGCACTTTTGGGAGGCCGAGGCCGGCGGATCACTGGGTCAAGAGATCAACACCCTCCTGGCCAACATGGTAAAACCCCGTGTCTACCAAAAATACAAAAAAAATTAGCTAGGCATGGTGGCACACTCTTGTAGTCCCAGCTACTTGGGAGGCTGAGGCAGAAGAATCACTTGAACCTGGGAGGCAGAGGTTGCAGTGAGCCGAGATCATGCCACTGCACTCCAGCCTGGCAACAGAGCAAGACTCCGTCTCAAAAAAAGAAAGAAAGGAAGAAAGAGAAAGAAAGAAAGAAAAGATATCAGAAAGCACAAACTACCATAATACGCAAAAAGAGCCAGGTCTTAAAAGTTATAGGACTTCATCTGTTTCCAGGTAAGGGAAGTTTTTCCAGTTAACACTTTCATTCAGTAAAGCACCAACCCTCCATGCAGCGTCACTGGAGGCTGGACATGCATTTTGCCATCTGGAAATCAACAACAGAGTCCAATAAGGTTAAACAACCCACACTTCCATTCCTACCTTTCACACTCAATCAAATGTCCTTATCTCTCTGTAGGCTAGAACTTCAAATAATGTGGATAACAAGGTATTTCGTGCACAAATGGAAAATAGAATCCATCTTACAGACAGTTCCATAGCTTCTTAAGCTTGTTTGAACTTGCCATTCTTTTGATATTTAATGGAAATCAATCCCTAAACATCATACAGAGGAAACAAATTAAAGAGTTAAACTTTTTGCTCAAAGAAAAACATTACAAAGAAAAGAGGGGTAATAGTGAGAAACAACATGGAAATATTTGTTGTCTATACATGTATGGAGATGTAAGTCTCCACATAAAGATATATGCTATCCTTCAATCTCTATGAAGAAACTTCTTCTCTACCTTCCTTTTAAGAGTGGCAGATCTGGGCTGGGCGCAGTGGCTCACGCCTGTAATCCCAGCACTTTGGGAGGCCGAGGCGGGCAGATCACGAGTTCAGGAGATAGAGACCATCCTGGCTAACACGGTGAAACCCCGTCTCTACCAAAAATATAAAAATTAGCTGGGCATGGTGGTGCGTGCCTGTAATCCCAGCTACTCAGGAGGCTGAGGCAGAAGAATTGCTTGAACCCGGGAGGTGGAGGTTGCAGTGAGCTGAGATTGTGCCACTGCACTCCAGCCTGGGGGAACAGAGCCAGAACCCGTCTCAAAAAAAAAAAGTGGCAGATCTGAATTTCTGTGCATCTCACATTGGCCCTTTGGTGGCTTACTGTGTATATCTTCAAAGCAAAGAGTACTGGGGCAATGGGAAGACATTTTTCCTTGTGCAACACTATCCTAACAAGTGTGGTTATTATTGAATCAACTTATCTAACTGGACAAATAATATCTAAGCTTCCATGTGAGTATTATTTTATCAAAAAAATGTACTTATAGCATTTTCTATTGATTAGATTGTTACACTATTTTTTAAAAATAAAAAGAAAAGGCAAGACTTTGATTATGTGGCTGCTAAAACATAACAATGACCTTGGGTGAAGCCTGAGAGACAGCACTTCCCTTGCTGACTTATGACAAATATTCAAAGGCATGGAATTCTAGGGCAAGGAAAAGACAACGTAGATTTAGCCCATTAACAAAGTCCCTATCTTGTCATTTAAAGCTCTTTCTCCACTTGAAGAAAATACAAGGTTGATTTTACTAGGACCTGTTGTTAGGTTTCCAACATCACGTGTCTCTTGCATTTGTGAACAGATTCTGGCAGAACACAAGAGAGGAGGCAATTAAAATGTTAAGTTCCGTGTACACAAGAAAAATAAAGTGGTATAAGTGTTCATATTTAATGGCAATCATTTAAAAAAGTGTTTATGCAACATATGCCTTTATGAAAACATATTTCTGTTTTGTTTTTTTGTTTTTGTTTTTTTGAGGCGGAATCTCGCTCTGTCACCAGGCTGGAGTGCAATGGCGCGATCTCAGCTCACTGCAACTTCCTATTCCCTGGTTCAGGTGATCCTCCTGCCTCAGCCTCCCGAGTAGCTGGGATTATAGGCACGAGCCACCATGCACAGCTAATTTTTGTATTTTTAGTAGAGACAGAGTTTCACCATGTTGGCCAGGATGGTGTCATCTCCTGACCTCGTGATCTGCCTGCCTTGGCCTCCCAAAGTGCTGGGATTACAAGCATGAGCCACCACACCCAGCCAACATATTTCTGTTTTTTGAGATCACATTCTTCTCTTGCCCCAAAAGAGTGAAGAGAACTAACATTTATTGAGTACCTACTATAAGCTAAGCACTTGACAACATTATTTTCTTAATTTTCCACAACTGAGTTAAGTGGATGTTATTATTCTCATTTTCACATAAGGAAACTGAAGCCAAGAGGATAAAAACTTGGTCAGTGTTATCAAATAGCTGCTGGCCGAGCTGGGATTCCAATTAGTTGTGTGCAACTTGAAAACCAGAGGACTTTCTATTTTATGCTGTTGCACCATTTTTTTTTAAATTTTATTATTATTATACTTTAAGTTTTAGGGTACATGTGCACAATGTGCAGGTTAGTTACATATGTATACATGTGCCATGCTGGTGTGTTGCACCCATTAACTCGTCATTTAGCATTAGGTATATCTCCTAATGCTATCCCTCCCCCCTCCCCCCACCCCACAACAGTCCCCAGAGTGTGATGTTCCCCTTCCTGCGTCCATGTGTTCTCATTGTTCAATTCCCACCTATGAGTGAGAACATGCAGTGCTTGGTTTTTTGTCCTTGCGATAGTTTACTGAGAATGATGATTTCCAGTTTCATCCATGTCCCTACAAAGGACCTGAACTCATTTTTTATGGCTGCATAATATTCCATGGTGTATATGTGCCACATTTTCTTAATCCAGTCTATCATTGTTGGACATTTGGGTTGGTTCCAAGTCTTTGCTATTGTGAATAGTGCCGCAATAAACATACGTGTGTTGCACCATTCTTTAACAATATTGATTTGGAGTTCTAATGTGTCTCCTCTTATTGCTGATTGCCAAAACACCCAATCATATACTTTCCCATATACATCTATCCATGTATGTCCACAGTATCATGGTGAAGTGCGTGAACTTTGGAGTGAAACTACCTGCATTCAAACACCAGCCCCGACTAACTGCATACACTAGGCAAGGGACTTAACTACCCAGACTCATTTTCCCATCTGTAAAACAGTTATGATGATGATAGTGTACGTAGCTTAAAAATGGGGTCTAGAACATTTTAAACACTATGCAAGTGTTAGCCATGACTGTTTTATCAATAAGGGTGGAACTTTTGGGTAATATCCACTCAGTGAATCTTGGCTGGAACAGTCTGGGCAATGAAAATTTAGTGCTAAGGAGTCCAAGATTTAAATTTACATCAACTTTTAGACTGGCTAAGCTTTCTTTCTGCTCCATGCCTACAGATTCTCTAACTCCACTCAGCTATATTAATGAGTATCATGGATCCAAAGGGATCCCTGAATTAGAACAACTGTATGCTCTCTACAAAACACATGACTTCCTGAGGATCATAGAGTGGGTTAGTCATGCAACGGAATATGAGCCTTTTAGTGTTAGAATTAAATACACTGATTCTACGCCCCCACTCATAGCAGCATCATTCACAATCGCCAAAAGGTGGAAGAAACCCAAGTATCCATTGACAAGTAAATGGATAAACGTGTGGTATATTTATACAATGGAATATTATTCTGCCTTAAAAAGAATGGAAATTCTGACACACGCTACAACATGGATGCACCTTGAGAGCAAAATGCTTAGTGAAATAAGTCAGTCACAAAAGAACAAACACTGTATGATTCCGCTTACGTGAGGTACCTAAAGTAGCCAAATTTGTAGAGAGAGAAAGTTGAATTGCAGTTGCCAGGGGCTGTGGAGAGTGGGAAATGGGAATTGCTTAATGGGCATTGAGTTTCAGTTCTGCAAGATGAAACAGTTCTGGAATTGGTTGCACAACACTGTAAACATACTTAACACGACTGAACTATACACTAAAAAAATGGTTAAGATGGTAAATTTTATGTTACGTGTATTTCACCACAATTTAAAAATATCATTTAAATACTGATTTCAATCAAACCAACTATAGCGGTCACGGTGGCCACCAATTAGCGGGAGGGTATTCTGTTGTTTCTGATCTGTGAGATCTGATGAAATTATCAATGCTTTTCCCTGTCAGCAGCCAAGCTCAGTGATATGCCGCAGCTGTTGCCTGTGTTCCCCAGTACGAGAAAGAGTCTGGGCCACCCACCTTTGGCCTTTGATTCTTTGCTAGGGGAGCCACAGATATGATCCTTGAATTAAGGAGGACGTGTGGAGAAAATGCATGTATGCATCCCTGAGGTCACCCTGCTGAACCCCTTTACACATGGCAGAATGAGTGGCAGTGTTAAAAACTTCCATGTAGGTCAATAGTGTCAAATCTCATGGTTGTCAAATGGAACATTTTTGTTTCTGATGACATCGTTGGAGCTCCAGGAAATAGCCTAGGGTCTCTGTATTTGAATCCATGTTTTCTCATGGCATGTGAATGTCAAGTCTGCAGTCTGGAACATGGGCAATTCCCTCAAGCAGAAAATGGTTGCACTCTCTCATTAATTAGGACCTATTCAGATATCTATGATCAGTGGTTTCAATATGAACCCTTTAGGTTAGAATTGCTGCCTATCAATTCTTTTTTTTTTTTTTTGAGACCGAGTCTCGCTGTCTCCCAGGCTGAAGTGCAGTGGCGCAATCTCGGCTCACTGCAAGCTCTGCCTCCCGGGTTCACACCATTCTCCTGCCTCAGCCTCCCGAGTAGCTGGGACTACAGGTGCCTGCCACCACGCCTGGCTAATTCTTTTGTATTTTTAGTAGAGACGGGGTTTCACTGTGTTAGCCAGGATGGTCTGGATCTCCTGACCTCGTGATCCGCCTGCCTCAGCCTCCCAAAGTGCTGGGATTACAGGCGTGAGCCACAACGCCCAGCCTATCAATTCTTTCAAAGTGTGTTTAAATTACACTAGTATGTGTGAGTTGCAGATCTTTCATGTTTTCCAGGTGGGAGGGAGAAGGAGAGAGGACAAACATTTCATGTTTCAACACAAATGAGTCTCCTTCAAGTCCAGTGTATTAATTAACAACTGGTTATCCTTAAAAATTGTAGTATAGTGTAAACAGGAATCTATTTATTTCACTAATTAATTCATTTATTTAGACATTAGCATGAATTCTTTATTCTTCCCTCTCTGACTACCTACACATTTCCACTCCCACACACACACGTGTGTGATAAAGTGTGTGTGCATAGTACATCCATCATATAGTACAAGGAAATGTAATTTGAAACAACGACAACTTACGCCACTAAAAGAGTAGACATTTTATCTCTGATACTTTTGACACCTACTATTACAGGCTTATTTCAAGAACACAATTTTCAAATACGTTGTAGTTGGCTCTACAAAAATCAAAATGCAAAATGACAGGTTTTTTTTTTTAACCCCAAATGTCTTATGATTCAAACCCTCTTGAACAGTGTAAGCCACTCTGAAGATCAAGTGCCACCCGTTACGGGAAAGGGTACAAAAGACCTTTGACCTGTCTGCTGCTGGGGAGTTTTGGCCACATCTGGGATTTCCATCAGCACTCACCTTCTTCGGCTCATGAAGAGGCCATGGCAGGTGTTGGTTAAAGAGGGGAAGTTGCTTTCAAAAGACTGAGATGAAAGAACTACTAGAATCAAATAGCTTACTGTAAAGACTGATTCTCTTTTGCACAGTCCTAAGAAATGACCTGTCCTTGGCCTTCCAAGATCTTGCTTCCAGAATATCAACCTGTCAGGACGGGAAAGAAGCAATAGCAGGTGAGACCATCTGAGGCGATCAGAGGGTCTTGATGGCAAAAACAAACTGACTCTATCCCTTTCCCAGACCCCAGACTCCCAGCTATGGTGGGACTAAGAATGCTGAATGCTGGTTCTCAGGCCAGTGAACCTAAGAAACTGAAGAGCACAAAAAGTGCTCTTGGCAGAAACTATTTTAATAGTGCTCGAAATACTTTTAATGAGAAGGGGAAGCAGGAACTTCAAATAAAGTTTCTCTTTTGCATTCCACCAAGAACAGATGTTTGCTTTATTCAAAGAAGTTTCATGGGGGTGATTTCATGCATAGCTAAGAGCAGCAGTAGGGTTTTTTAGCTGTTAGAGCTGGGGTTGATTTACATAATCAGGGTATTACCGCTCCTGTGGCTTTCTACCTATATGCTATTAAACATATGTGTGCTTATATCTGTGTGTGTATGTGTGTGTGTGTTCATAACGCTGGAATCAAGTAAAAGGTCCACCGTCATTTCCTCATCATTCTTGGGAATATTTACAGTATCAGGGCTGCTCTCTTATCCTCCAGCTGTAATAAAGGCAGCACTTTGTACAAAATATCTCATTTAATTTTTATGACAATCCCATGAAATAGGAATTACTGTCCCCACTACATAGATGGGAAGACCGATGCTTAAAGAGGTTGAATACACATGCTAAGGTAGCATAACCAGGAGGTGGCAGAGTTGGGATCTGAGCTGAGGAAGTCCAGGGCTCTCAATTACACTCCCACAAGATAAGGAGCATACATTGTACAGGCTGCACAAAGTCATGAAGAAATCTTGGGTAACCATCTGCAAGCCCATTTACTGATTTCCTCCCTTTAATAGGGCTGACCCACAAGCCCACACACTGTGGCATCCGCTCTCCGCTACCACTTCACCCTGTGTCTCTCTGCTTATGCTGATTTCCGTCCTTTCCAAGATTAGCATTTGGCCTGCCTTCTCTCTATGGCCTCACTGGCCAACCCTGTCAGCAATGTGCCCTGAATAATAGAATCAGGCATAAAGTCCTTGCCCATCTTTCCTAGTAGAAAGGGGATCCCTCCATGGACTTCTGGAGCTGTCCCATTTATGTAGCCATAGCTAACTGCCTAGTCTCTTCTTTCACCAGAGCTCCATGATACCACATCCTGTTGAAAATGACACAAGGAGGAAGAAAAAGTCCCTTTAGGTGGTAGTCATCAACTTTTCCTTTCCACCCCCTCCAGTATGTCTTCATTCTTTCTCTTTCAGCTCTTCAATTTACTGGATTTTTTAAGAGGCTGTGCTCTGTTGCTATGTTCCAGATAGGTAGGTAAGTAGGTAGACAGATTAGATAGATGGATAGATGAATAGATTAGATAAATAGTAGATACATAGATGAATAGATTAGGTAGATGAATAGATAGGTGGATAAATGAATATATTAGACACATGATAGATAAGATAGATAAATAGATTACATAAATAGATAAATAGAAGATAGATGAATGCATTACATAGCTAGATAGATAGGTAAATGGATGGATGGATGGATGGATGGATGGATGGATGGATGGATGGATGGATGGATAGATGTAGATGAATAGATGGATGGATAGGTGAGCAGATAGATAAATAGATAGATGCATATTCTTGGCTTGGGTTACCCCAGAAGCAACCTGAAATAAGAATTCACATGCAAGTAGGAAACACTAGTAGGGGAATAGAGAAGTGAGAAACAGGCAAGAGAAGAAAACCAACCAAAGGAGAATAATCAAGAAAGTTACCACTGAGGGCAAATGAAGCTGAATTCCACTGGGGAATTCTGAGAGACAGTGTAGAGCCTGCTACTCAAAGCGGACCATCATCATCATCATCATCATCATCATCATCATCATCATCATCATCTGAAGCTCTACCACAAATCCACTGAATCAGGATGTGAATTTTTAACAGGATCCCCAAATGATAAAGTTTGTAAAGTACTGAGGTAGAATATGCCTCAAAGTTAATCAGATGAAGGGGTGAGAAAACTGTGATAGTCATTACTAGCTTCCCCCTTAACACTGCTTGTGAGCTGTTTCTGAAGTTAATTCCCCTGCACTCCTGGCTTAGCCTTTGTATGAGCAGGGCATTCATGCCCCAGTGGTCAAAAAGGAAGTCCCCAGACAGAAAATCAAAGGTATTAGCAGGAAGCGGCCCTCAACATGCACAGCTATTACAAGTTCAGCTGTTAAATAGTTAATCTAAATATGATATTAAAACTGAGGTTAAATTATAATAATAAAAACAGCCACAACTCTAATGCTGATTCAAGGTTAAAGATGCATTAAATAGATTGAAATAAGCAGGATTTCATTTAGGCATTTATTCTCAAAAAAGCAGTTGATTTACCTAGTAGAAAAATAACCATTATCACAATTAACTTTAGGAAAATTCAATTAAGATTAATATTATTTTTTACTCAGTAGTTATTTCAGGCCCTCTCAAGCAGGCCATGAGTGAGATCATGAAATATGTTCCCATATTTCATTGACTTATTCTAATTCCTAATATTAACCCCCAGGAGGGGTGGGGAGGCACATGACTGAGGTTTTGCATTGCAAAGACAAACTATGTACTATATTTATTCTGGAGTACATTCACGATCTGAAATTATAGTGGAAAAAAAAAAGACTTGACTCCTATTATAATGCTAAACACTGGTAAAGACATTTGGAGAATATCCAGAAAAATCAGTGACTTCTCCCAGACACAATAGGCGCAATAAGGTAACTACACAAGAAAAGCAGTTTCCACAAAGATGTTAGTTCTGTTACCTCATACACGTATTCTAAAGGAGTACTGGAGTACTTTATAGCACACAAAGAAAAAATGTATTTCTTCAAAAAATTTTAAGATGCATTCAAAAAGTTTCTAAATCAGCTTGGAAAAAAATTAACAAACTAAGAACTTCTTAGAAACACTGAACTTAAAAGAAGTCCCCAAGAAGATTTTCAAGTTAAATATTAGGACTATAGAAAAGTATAAATCCAACATTTTTAGGCATGACAGGATATATTAATTGATGAGCACAAACTATACCTTCACACTTGAACTTCATGAAATATAATTGAAAAGAAAAATAAATGAGCTATATCCTTTCATAAATTTTTTGCTCGACAACACCAAATGAATTCTAAAATATTCTGAACATTATAGAATAAAATTATTGTTCATTTATTAACCAAATACCAAAATCAAAAAACTTTTGCTCAGTAAATGAAAAGTTAATGCATACAGCATATTCTTAACATACAGAATTAATAAAATCCTACTGAATAGTATTTTTTATATATATACTTTAAGTTTTAGGGTACATGTGCACAACGTGCAGGTTTGTTACGTAGGTATACATGTGCCATGTTGGTTTGCTGCACCCAGTAACCCGTCATTTACGTTAGGTATTTTTCCTAATGCTATCCCTCCCCTTCCCCCCGACCCCACGACAGGCCCCCCGGGTGTGATGTTCCCCACCCTGTGTCCAAGTGTGCTCATTGTTCAATTCCCACCTATGAGTGAGAACATGCGGTGTTTAGTTTTCTGTTCTTGTGACAGTTTGCTCAGAATGATGGTTTCCAGCTGCATCCATGTCCTTGCAAAGGACATGAACTCATGCTTTTTTATGGCTGCATAGTATTCCATGGTGTATATGTGCCACATTTTCTTAATCTAGTCTATCATTGATGGACATTTGGGTTGGTTCCAAGTTTTTGCTATTGTGAATAGTGCCGCAATAGACATACGTGTGCATATGTCTTTATAGTAGCATGATTTATAATCCTTTGGGCATATACCCAGTAATGGGATTGCTGGGTCAAATGATATTTCTAGTTTTAGATCCTTGAGGAATTGCCACAGTCTTCCACAATGGTTGAATTAGTTTACACTCCCACCAACAGTGTAAAACCTTTCCTATTTCTCTACATCCTCTCCAGCATCTGTTGTTTCCTGACTTTTTAATGATTGTCATTCTAACTGGTGTGAGATGGTATCTCAGTGTGGTTTTGATTTGCATTTCTCTGATGACCAGTGATTTTGAGCATTTTTTATGTGTCTGTTGGCTGCATAAATGTCTTCTTTTGAGAAGTGTCTGTTCATATCCTTTGCCCACTTTTTGATGGGGTCGTTTATTTCTTGTAAATTTGTTTAAGTCTGTTGATTCTGGATATCAGCCCTTTGTCAGATGGGTAGATTGCAAAAATTTTCTCACATTCTGTAGGTTGCCTGTTCACTCTGATGGTAATTTCTTTTGCCGCGCAGAAGCTCCTTAGTTTAATTAGATCCCATTTGTCTATTTTGGCTTTTGTTGCCATTGCTTTTGGTGTTTCAGTCATGAAGTCTTTGCCCATGCCTATGTCCTGAATGGTATTGCCTAGGTTTTCTTCTAGGGTTTTTATGGTTTTAGGTCTAACATTTAAGTCTTTAATCCATCTTGAATTAATTTTTGTATAAGGTGTAAAGAAGGGATCCAGTTTCAGCTTTCTACATATGGCTAACCAGTTTTCCCAGCACCATTTATTAAATAGGCAATCCTTTCCCCATTGCTTGTTTTTGTCAGGTTTGTCAAAGATCAGATGGTTGTAGATGTGTGGTGTTATTTCTGAGGTCTCTGTTCTGTTCCATTGGTCTATACATCTGTTTTGGTACCAGTACCATGCTGTTTTGGTTACTGTAGCCTTGTAGTATAGTTTGAAGTCAGGTAGTGTGATGCCTCCAGCTTTGTCCTTTTTGCTTAGGATTGTCTTGGCAATGTGGGCTCCTTTTTGGTTTCATATGAACTTTAAAGTCGTTGTTTCCAATTCTGTGAAGAAAGTAAGTCATTGGTAGCTTGATGGGGATGGCATTGAATCTATAAATTACCTTGGGCAGTATGGCCATTTTCATGATATTGATTCTTCCTATCCATGAGCATAGAATGTTCTTTCATTTGATTGCGTCCTCCTTTATTTTGTTGAGCAGTGGTTTGTAGTTCTCCTTGAAGAGGTCCTTCACATCCCTTGCAAGTTGGATTCCATGGTATTTTATTCTCTTTGTAACAATTGTGAATGGGAGTTCACTAGTGATTTGACTCTCTGTTATTGGTGTATAGGAATGCTTGTGATTTTTGCACATTGATTTTGTACCTGAGACTTTGCTGAAGTTGCTTATCAGCTTAAGGAGATTTTGGGCTGAGATGATGGGGTTTTCTATATATACAATCATGTCATCTGCAAACAGGGACAATTTGACTTCCTCTTTTCCTAAAGAAGTACCCTTTATTTCTTTCTCTTGCCTGATTGCCCTGGCCAGAACTTCCAACACTATGTAGGAGTGGTGAGAGAAGGCATCCTTGTCTTGTGCCAGTTTTCAAAGGGAATGCTTCCAGTTTTTGTCCATTCAGTATGATATTGGCTGTGGGTTTGTCATAAATAGCTCCTATTGTTTTGAGATATGTTCCATCAATACCTAGTTTATTGAGAGTTTTTAGCTGAAGTGCTGTTAAATTTTGCCAAAAGCCTTTTCGGCATCTATTGAGATAGTCATGTAGTTTTTGTCTTGGTTCTGTTTATGTGATGGATTATGTTTACTGATTTGCATATGTTGAACCAGCCTTGCATCCCAGGGATGAATCCAACTTGATTTTGTTGGATAAGCTTTTTGATGTGCTGCTGGATTCAGTTTGCCAGTATTTTTTTGAGGATTTTCACATCTATATTCATCAGGGATAGTAGTCTAAAATTCTCTTTTTTTGTTGTGTCTCTGCCAGGCTTTGGTATCAGGATGACGCTGGCCTCATAAAATGAGTTAGGTAGGATTCCCTCTTTTTCTATTGACTGGATTAGTTTCAGAAGGAATGGTACCAGCTCCTCTTTCTACCTCTGGTAGAATTTGGCTGTGAATCCATCTGGTCCTGGACTTTTTTTGGTGGTAGGCTATTAATTATTGCCTCAATTTCAGAGCCTGTTATTGGTCTATTCAGAGATTCAACTTCTTCCTGGTTTAGTCTTGGGAGGGTGTATGTGTCGAGGAATTTATCCATTTCTTCTAGATTTTCTAGTTTATTTGCAGAGAGGTGTTTATAGTATTCTCTGATGGTAGTTTGTATTTCTGTGGGATTGGTGGTGATATCCCCTTTATCATTTTTTATTGCATCTATTTGATTCTTCTCTCTTTTCTTCTTTATTCATCTTGCTAGCGGTCTATCTATTTTGTTAATCTTTTCAAAAAACCAGCTCCTGGATTCATTGATTTTTTTGAAGGATTTTTTGTGTCTCTATCTCCTTCAGTTCTGCTCTGATCTTAGTTATTTCTTGCCTTCTGCTAGCTTTTGAATGTGTTTGCTCTTGCTTCTCTAGTTCCTTTAATTGTGATGTTAGGGTGTCAATTTTAGATCTTTCCTGCTTTCTCTTGTGGGCATTTAGTGCTATAAATTTCCCTCTACACACTGCTCTAAATGTGTCCCAGAGATTCTGGTATGTTGTGTCTTTGTTCTCATTAGTTTCAAAGAACATCTTTATGTCTGACTTCATTTCGTTATGTACCCAGTAGTCATTCAGGAGCAGTTGTTCACTTTCCATGTAGTTGTGTGGTTTTGAGTGGGTTTATTAATCTTGAGTTCTAATTTGATTGCACTGTAGTCTGAGAGAGAGTTTGTTGTGATTTCTGTTCTTTTACATTTGCTGAGGAGTGCTTTACTTCCAACTATGTGGTCAATTTTAGAATAAGTGCGATGTGGTGCTGAGAAGAATGTATATTCTGTTGATTTGGGGTGGAGAGTTGTGTAGATGTCTATTAGGTCTACTTGGTGCAGAGCTGAGTTCACCTGGATATCCTTGTTAACCTTCTGTCTCATTGATCTGTCTAATATTGACAGTGGGGTGTTAAAGTCTCCCATTATTATTGTGTGGGAGTCTAAGTGTCTTTCTAGGTCTCTAAGGACTTGTTTTATGAATCTGGGTGCTCCTGTATTGGGTGCATATACACTTAGGATAGTTAGCTCTTCTTGGTGAATTGATCCTTTTACCATTATGTAATGGCCTTCTTTGTCTCTTTTGATCTTTGTTGGTTTAAAGTCTGTTTTATCAGAGACTAGGATTACAACCCCTGCTTTTTTTTTTTTTTTTTTTTGCTTTCCATTTGCTTGGTAGATCTTCCTCCATCCCTTTATTTTGAGACTGTGTGTGTCTCTACAGGTCAGATGGGTCTCCTGAATACAGCACACTGATGGGCCTTGACTCTTTATCCAATTTGACGGTATGTGTCTTTTAATTGGGGCATGTAGCCCATTTACATTTAAGGTTAATATTGTTTGTGAATTTGATCCTGTCATTATGATGTTAGCTGTTTATTTTGCCCATTAGTTGACGCAGTTTCTTCCTAGCATCAATGGTCTTTATAATTTGGCATGTTTTTGCAGTGGCTGGTACCAGTTGTTCCTTTCCATGTTTAGTGCTTCCTTCAGGAGCTCCTGTAAGGCAGGCCTGGTGGTGACAAAATCTCTCAGCATTTGCTTGTCTGTAAAGGATTTTATTTCTCCTTCACTTATGAAGCTTAGTTTGGCTGGATATGAAATTCTGGGTTGAAAATTCTTTTCTTTAAGAATGTTGAATCTTGGCCCCCACTCTCTTCTGGCTTGTAGACTTTCTTCCGAGAGATCCACTGTTAGTCTGATGGGCTTTCCTTTGTGGGTAACCCGACCTTTCTCTCTGGCTGCCCTTAACATTTTTCCTTCATTTCAACCTTAGTGAATCTGACAATTATGTGTCTTGGTGTTGCTCTTCTCAAGGAGTATCTTTGTGCTGTTCTTTGTATTTCCTGAATTTGAATGTTGGCCTGCCTTGCTAGGTTGAGGAAGTTTTCCAGGATAATATCCTGAAGAGTGTTTTCCAACTTGGTTCCATTCTCCCCGTCACTTTCAGGTACACCAATCAAAAGTAGATTTGGTCTTTTCACATAGTCTCATATTTCCTGGAGGCTTTGTTCATTTCCTTTTACTTTTTTTCTCTAAACTTCTCTTGTTGCTTTATTTCATTAATTTGATCTTCTATCACTGATACCCTTTCTTCTGCTTGTTCAAATCGGCTATTGAAGCTTGTACATGCATCACGTAGTTCTCGTGCCGTGGTTTTCAGCTCCATCAGGTCATTTAAGGTCTTCTCTACACTGTTTATTCTAGTTAGCCATTTGTCTAATCTTTTTTCAAGGTTTTTAGCTTCCTTGCAATGGGTTTGAACATCCTCCTTTAGCTCGGAGAAGTTTGTTATTACCAACCTTCTGAAGCCGACTTCTGTCAGCTCATCAAAGTCATTCTCCGTCCAGCTTTGTTCCATTGCTGGCAAGGAGCTGTGATCCTTTGGAGGAGAAGAGGCTCTCTGGCTTTTACAATTTTCAGCTTTTCTGCTCTGGTTTATCCCCATCTTTGTGGTTTTATCTACCTTTGGTCTTTGATGTTGGTGACCTACAGATGGGGTTTTGGTGTGGATGTCCTTTTTGTTGATGTTGATGCTATTCCTTTCTGTTTGTTAGTTTTCCTTGTAACAGTCAGGTCCCTCAACTGCAGGTCTGTTGGAGTTTGCTGGAGGTCCACCCCAGACCCTGGTTGCCTGGGTATCACCAGCGGAGACTGAAGAACAGCAAATATTGCAGAATAGCAAATATTGCTGCCTCATCCTTCCCCCGGAAGCTTTGTCCCAGAGGGGCACCCTCATGTATGAGGTATCAGTTGGCCCCTACGGGAAGATGTCTCCCAGTTAAGCTACATGGGGGTCAGGGACCCACTTGAGGAGGCAGTCTGTCCGTTCTCTGAGCTCAAACACTGTGCTGGGAGAACCACTGTTCTCTTCAGAGCTGTCAGACTGGGATGTTTAAGTCTGCAGAAGTTTCTGCTGCTTTTTGTTCAGCTATGCCCCGCCCCCAGAGGTGGAGACTACGGAGGCAGCTGGCCTTGCTAAGCTGCAGTGGGCTCCGCCCAGTTTGAACTTCTCCGGCCACTTTTTTTTACCTACTCAAGCCTCAGTAATGGCAGATGCCCCTCTCCCTGCCAGGCTGCTGCCTCGCAGGTCAATCTCAGACTGCTGCGCTAGCAGTAAGCAAGGCTCTGTGGGCTTGGGATCCTCCGAGCCAGGTGCAGGATATAATCTGGTGTGCCATTTGCTAAGACCGTTAGAAAAGCACAGTATTTGGGTGGGAATGTCCCAGTTTTCCAGGTGCTATGTGGAAAACTTCCCTTGGCCAGGAAAAGGAAATCCCCCAACCCCTTGGGCTTCCCGGGTGAGGCGATGCCCTGCCCTGCTTCAGCTCACCCTCCGTGGGCTGCATCCACTGTCCAGCAAATCCCAATGAGATGAACCAGGTACCTCAGTTGGAAATGCAGAAATCACCCGTCTTCTGCATCGATCATGCTGGGAGCTGCATACTGGAGCTGTTCCTATTCAGCCATCTTGGAACAGAATCTCCTGAATATATAGTCTTTTGATACCTCTTGTCTTTCCCTTTATCTCTCCTCTGTCTCCCTTCTCCTTCCCTTTAGCTTCCAGGAGCAAAAGAAGTTTTCTATCTATTAAGTCTCTCCTGAGTCCACTGAACATAGCATTTTCTGTGTATTTCATCACACTACAAATTATCTGCCTCATTAAGAATAAAGTCGAATTGCAATTCAGCATTTGCTGAAGTCATCTCTCCATTTTCTGCTCTGGCCAGAGCATTCAGAAAGACATTTAAGGCTTTAAGTCACCTATTTATTTATAGCATGGTTGATAGACTCATGGATATTATAATGAAAAGCTCTGCTAAATTTGACAATTTGCTACTTACTATATCCTACAGTTTAGGTTAAAAAAAATAGTTTGGGCCAGACATGGCGGCTCACATCTGTAATCCCAGCACTTTGGGAGGCCAAGGCGGGTGGATAACCTGAGGTCAGGAGTTCGAGACCAACCTGGCCAACACGGTGAAACCCGTCTCTACTAAAAATACAAAATTAGCCACGCAAGGTGGCAGATGCCTGTAATCCCAGCTACTTGGGAGGCTGAGGCATGAGAATCACTCGAACCTGGGACGTGGAGGTTGCGCCGTTGCTCTCCAGAGCGACAACAAGAGCAAAACTCTGTCTCAAAAAATCAAATCAAATGTAAAAAAAAAATAGTTTGGAACATCAGCTTGGTTGGAGGGAAGAGTCTTCTTTTCCTCAAAGAAATAAATGATTCCCTCTTCACCTGAGGTATGTGTAGGAGACAACTTGTAGAGAGTTGGAGGCAAGAGTGCTGGCAGGCAGGCTAGTGTCACCTAACCCGCTGCAATTGACTCACTTCTGAGACTGCAGTTAGGAAGTATGCAAAACGTCATGAACCTTGGGGATGAAAATAAATCTGAGACTATCAAAGATCTAATTTATGTCAAAAACTAAATGGATTCTGGACCAGTGCTGTCTAATAGAAATGTAATGTGAGCCACAAAACCAAGTCACTGTGCAATTTTAAATGTAGTAGCTCCATTTGAAAACTAAAAAGAAGCGTTACAACTCTTTTAGAATTCAGAATTCTAAATTCTAAAGGACTAGTGTTAGAATTTCTAACAGGTTTTTTGGTTTTCACTGAAAAAAAACCCCACAGGAAAATCAAAGTAAAAATAAACAGTTAAAACTATAATAGCATATTATTTAACCCAATATGTACAAAATGTTATATTTTTTAATATTTGGCTTTCTTATTTTTCATTAGTCTTCAAAATCAACTGGGACTTTTACATGTACAGCACGTTTTAAATGACCCAAAGCCACCCCGCTGGTCAGCTCAGGTCTAGACAATCTATTAAATGAACCAAATTGCCTTTAAAATCTTTGCAGGATTTTTAATAGCTGGATCAAAAGCACTAGCTGAAATCATGAAGCTAAAACTGCATTTTTATCATAATGAGGTCTGACCTCTTTCATTTATAATTAGAACTCCAACCACCTAACAGGCTTTCCCTGAGGATTATTTTGTCACCCAATTCCATTTCACAGGCTCATTCATCTAAACTCATGTGACGAGCAGCATCACGTTCCCTCACACCACCCTCAAGCACCACACACAAACACACACACACTCCCCAGCCCTCTGCAGCATCCCATCCTCTAGGCCTTGGGAATTGCTTTAAAAATTATGAAACTACTTTAATTCTGATTCACTTTTGCAGCAAAACTCTTAGGTCAAAGCCTGATCTAGGTATTTGTGTGACCACAGGGAGGACCCCAAAAAGTGAATGGCTCTATAGTTTGCAAAAGCTTTACAGTTGCTCCCCTGTATTCATGAGTTTCACATCCATGAATTCAACCAAGCACGTATTAAAAATATTTTTAAAAAATGAATATTTTTGTCTGCACTGAAAATATACAGACATTTTTTCTTGTCAATATTCCCTAAACAATAGAGTATAACTATGTAGATAGCATTTACATTGTATTAGATATTATAAGTAATCTAGAGATGATTTAAAACATACAAGAGGATGTGCATAGGTTATATGTAAATACTACACTGTGTTATACAAAGGACTTGAGTATGTGTGGATTTTGGTATCCATGGGGGTCCTGGAACCAATCCCCCAGGGCCACGGAAGGATGAGTGTATTTGCTAGGGCTCATTTTTTATGTGCTCTGGGCCTCTGGTCAAATTTTGAATTAGAAAGGAGACAAAGGGCAACCTGTCACTTGTGGACAAAATAATATATATTGTCATTGGCTGTGGAAGCAGCCTGAGCACAATAGACTGTAATTAGAGAAACTCTCTCATTCTTATTACAAGTCGCAATTGTGATGTTTCTGGAACTTAACATCTCTCCTGAGGCAAGAATTACCTGTGAGATGACTGAGGAAGGCATATTTCTACATTACACTACCAGGGAGATCTCAGAGAGCACTGACTTGATCTCAGAGAGAACTCAGAGTGCCAATATTTATCTTGACTGTCCTTAGGAAAACTCATGTCCCAGTGATATCCTAGCTTAACCTGGGAAATTTCCTACTGGAAAATATTGTCCTAGAGATTGTGCTGGTTGAGATGTGGAAATGGGTAGGATGAGAATTCTTGGACATGACTGATACCAGTGAGTAGGGGAGGGGTTTTTCCAAAGGGGAGATGAAGACTCACACTCCAGTTGTTAGAGAAGGAAAAGCCTCCTTAGAGGGAGGGAGACCCAAGGGTCAGGGGGCAAGGCTGGGTATGTGGTGTATATCTACGAAGGGTTTAACTCTGTGTAATTTTCTTTTGGACTATGGAAAGTAGTCTTGTGAAGCATACACTATTGATTAATTTCCCCTCCTATACTGTATTCCTTTACAGTTTTTTAAAGTAAAATTCTTGTATAATTAAATAAAAACAGGACCAGTTGCATAATTTACAGGACTAGTGTGAAATTAAAATGTGGGAACACTTTTTCAAAAGTATTTTTCAGAATTTTCACCCAATGTGTTATATACCTACAGTGGAATGTTATTCGCCCTTAAAAGGGAAGGAAATGCCACACATGCTACAATATGGATGGATCTTGAGGATATTATGCTAAGTGAAAAAAGCTAGCCACAAAAGGACAAATACTGTGTAATCTCACTTATATGAGGTACCTAGAGTAGTCAACTTCAGACAGAAAGTAGAATAGTAATTAACAAGGATTGAGAGAGAGGAAATGGGAGTTGTTGTTTAATGGAGAAAGAATTTCAGTTCTGCAAGGTAAAAAGAGTTCTGGAGATTGGTTTCATAATGTTAATGTACTTAACTCTACTGAATGTAGATGCAAAAATTGATACAATACTGCTATGGTTTGTTCCCATCAAATTTCATTTTGAAATTTAATTTCCACTGTGGTGGTGTTGGCAGGTGGGGCCAATTGGAAGGTGTTTGGGTCATGGGGGTGGATTCTTCATGATTAGATTACTACCCTCCCTCAGGGGTTAATGAGTTTTCACTCTTATTAATTCCTATGAGAGCTGGTTATTCAAAGGAGCCTGGTCCTTCCCCCACCCCTTTCCTCTTCTTTCACCATGTGATCTCTGCACATGTCAGTTCCCCTTTGCCTTCCACCATGAGTGGTAGCTTACTGAAGCCCATACCAAAAGCAGATGCTGGTTCCATGCTTTTTGTATAGCCTGAAGAACTGAGAACTAAATAAACCTCTTTCTTTATAAATTACCCAAGTTCAGGTATTCCTTTATAAGCAACACAAAACAGATGGTAAATCTTATGTTGTGTGTATCTTACCACAATTAAAAATAAAATTTAAACAAATTTAAATTATTAGGAATTACAAGATGGCAATTGCAGAACACTAAAATAAGTTTGGGACCCTTTTAAATGTGACATTCTCTGTGATTGCATAGGTTGCAGACCCATGAAGCTGGTCCTGGGTATATGAAACAAAGTAATAAAAGAAAATATGGCCTTTTCAAGATTACTTCCTGTCTGACTCCCAAGTGGTGGTAGCAGCAAGAAGGATTAAAGTACCAGAATTCCAGATGATGATCAGTAGCATGCAGCAGGCTACTAAAGACAAATGAAAATTTTAAAAGCAATCAGTGTAAAACCTAGATTATTTACAAAAGAAACAACTAGACGAATAGAAAAATTCTCATTAGCTATACTAGAGTCCAGAAAACAATAAAATAATGCCTTTAAGCATTAGAAGAAAATAGTTACCAACCTGGGAAGTTTTCTCTAGCTAAATTATTATTCTTGAGTAACGGTAAAATAAAGACAATTTCAAATGAATCAAACCTGAGAGTTTATGACTCATGGTCTTTCCATCACTGAAAGAACTACAAAAGGTGTACATTAGTAAGAAGAAAATCAAACCCAGAAGAAACAGAATGCAAAAAATATGCTGTAGTTTTCCATTCTACTCCATGTCTCATAATTCTTCATATTTTCTATTTCTTTTTTCCTGTGATACATTCTGAATATTTTCTTTGTTTTTTTCTCATTTACTAATTCTCTATTTATTGGGTTGCTAACAATTTTATGTAATTATTAAGACTAAGTTCAGGTAAAGGAATAGCATTTATGGCTTTTTTTAAAAAAAAGGAGGAATTTGGCTTACATCCAAGATGAGTAGCACAGAGTGGATTTATCCTCCTGTCTGAAAAGAAAAGAACAACAACAAAAAAAGCAACAGTTTTCGAGATACTGAATATAAGAAAATAGAGTACAATGATCCTGACTGATGAGAAACATATAAGGTAAGCCCTATAATTGCCCCAGCGTGCAGCTTTGAGAGAGTTTTTAGGCTGTGCCACTGGGAGACAAAACTCAAGGGGAGCCCACTGGACTCCTTGAGTTGAGGGGATGGAGCTGAGAGTCTCAGGAGAAGAAGACTGAGCTCAGGAGAACAAGGACAGAATGCTGGAGAGAAGTGAGATGCAAAGGGAGACAGATTCCCCATCAATAGTCGGATGTATTCTCTCTGTTTAAAAGTTAAGAAGTAGCATGGAAAATGTATTCAAATGACCCAAACCCAACCTCAAGAGATGAAAACTAAAATGTCTGTAATAAAAAATAAATTTCATAAGACTTACAGCATTACATATTGTAGAAGAAAAGTTTAGTGAACTTAAAGGCATAGAAATAGAAACTATCTAAAGTAAAACAAAAGCAAAAAGAATTTAAAACAAGAAGAGCATCAGTTAGCTGTGGGACAACTTCAGGTGAGTTAATATTTATGTAATTGTAGTCTCCAAATAAGAGGAATGAGAAGAGGGAACAGACAAAAAATATTTAAGAAAACAATAGACAAAAATTTGATAAAAATTAAATCCACAGACAAACGATCAATAAATGCCAGTCACAAGAAACATGATAAAACTACCACACAGTGTGTCATAATAAAATTCCTCAAAACCAGTGATACATAGAAAACTTGAAAAGCAGCCATAGATAAAAAATGTATTACTTACAAAAGAACAAAAATAAGGACAGCAGCAGATTTCTCATCAGACACAAGGCATGTGAGATGACAATAAGATAATATCTTTAGACCCTAAAAGAAAAAAAAAACTCTGCTAACTAGAAATCAATACTTATTAAAAATATCTTTTAAGAAATCTATACCCAGCAAAAATGAAGAAAATAACTTCTTCAGAAATACAAATGCTGGAAGAATGCATCATCATAATATCCACACTATAAGAAATTAACTATATGGGTAAATATGGCATTATTAGTGCTTAAATATCTCTAAAAGATAATTGACTAAATAAAAATAATATCAATGTAGTATGAGGCTTTATACGTATAAGTAAAATATATGAAAACAATAGCACAAAGGCTGGGAAGGTAGAAGTTTAAGTGTAATATCATAAGATTTTTATACTCTACATGAAGTGATATGTTATTTGAAGACATGGTATGTTGTTAAAGATGTATCATATGAATAGGAAAGAAACCACCAAGAGAACAAAACAAGAAGTTATTGGTAATAAGCCAACAAAAAACATACAATGATGTTTTAAAGATACTTAATTAATCCAAAAAAAAAAGTGTAAAGAGGGAAGTGGAATTTAAAAAAAAGAGGACAAATAGACTTCACATAGTATAATATATTTAAATCTAAAAATATCGACAAGCACGTTAAATGTAAATGATCTAAACACCTGAATTAAAAGACAGAGATTGTCAAATTGAGTAGAAGAGCAAAACTCAACCCTTTGCTGCCTACCAGAAACACAATTTAAATACAAAGATACAAATACGCAAAAAGAAAAAAGTTGGAAAAAAATGTACTATACTAACATTAATAAAAATAAAAATAGACTGGCTATATCAATATCAGATAACTAGCTGTCAGAGCAAAAAGTATTATCAAAGATAAAGAAGGTCCATTTATAATGATATTTGGGTCAGTTCCTAAAGAGGACATAACAAAACTTTATGTAGCTAATAATAGAACCTAAAACTTTATACAGCTAATAACAGAAGCTAAAAACACATGAAACAAAAACTGATAAAACCACAAGGAAAAATAGACAAGTTCTCAATTATACCTAGAGATTTTAATACATCTCTTTCAATAATTGATAGAATGAGTAGACAGAAAATTAGTGAAGACATAAAAGACATGAACATCGCTATCAACCAACCTGACCTAATTGACATTTAAAGAACTCTTCACCCAGAAGAATGCACATTTTTTAAAAAGTGAAAAGTATTTACTAAGATAGATCATATTTCAGGATACAAAACAAGTTTTAATAAATTTGAAGGAATTCAGGTCATACAAAGTAAATTCTCTGACCACAATAGAATTAAACCAGAAATAAATAACAGCAATATTTGAAAATCCACAAATATTTGGGAACTAAATAAGACACTTTTAAATAACCCACAAGACAAAGAAGAAAACAAGGGGGGAATTGAAACTATATTTAAAAGAATGAAAATGAAAACACAACAGATGAAAATTTGTGGGCAGCTACTGAAGCAATACTTCAGGGGAAATTTATACCACTCCACACCTGACTTAGAAAAGAAGAGGAGCCTCAAGTCAATAAACTCAGCTCTCACCTTATTGAGCCAGAACAAGAAGAGCAAATGAAACTCAAAGTAAGCAGATGAAAGGGAATAATGAAAATCATGATAGAATTAATGAAATAAAAAAACAAAAACAATAAAGAAGATCAACGATATGATTTGCATCTGTATCCCTGCACAAAGCTCACATCAAATTGTAATCCCCTAGTGTTGGAGGTGGGGCATGGTAGGAAGTAACTGAATCATGGGAGTGGATTTCTCATGAATGGTTTAGTACCATCCCCTTGGTGCTGTTCTCATGATAGAGAATTCTTGCAAGATCTGATTGTTTAAAAGTGCGTAGCAGGCCGGGCGCGGTGGCTCACGCCTGTAATCCCAGCACTTTGGGAGGCCGAGGCGGGCGGATCACGAGGTCAGGAGATCGAGACCATCCCGGCTAAAATGGTGAAACCCCGTCTCTACTAAAAATACAAAAAATTAGCCGGGCGTAGTGGCGGGCGCCTGTAGTCCCAGCTACTTGGGAGGCTGAGGCGGGAGAATGGCGTGAACCCGGGAGGCGGAGCTTGCAGTGAGCCGAGATCCCGCCACTGCACTCCAGCCTGGGCGACAGAGCGAGACTCCGTCTCAAAAAAAAAAAAAAAAAAAAAGTGCGTAGCACCTTTGCTCTCTCTCGATGTTTCTATGGTCGTGTGATGTGCCTGCTCCCCCTTCACCTTCTGCCATGATTTTAAGTTTACTGAGGCATTCCGAGAAGCTGAGCAGATGCCAACATCATGCTTCCTATACAGCCTGCAGAACCATGAGCCAATTAAATCTCTTTATAAATTACCCAGTCTCAGGTATTTATTTATAGCCATGAGAGAACAGAATAATACAATCAATAAAACCCAAATTCAGTTATTTAGGGTAATAAAATTGATAGAACTCTAGCCAAACTGATCAGGAAAAATGAAAACACAAGTGGACAATATCATGAACACAAAGGTGACATAGCTACAGATTCTATGGATATTGTCTTAGTCTGTTTTCCCACTGCTGATAAAGACAGACCTGAGCCTGGGTAAATTATAAAGAAAAAGAAGTTTAATGGACTCAGTTCCATGTGGCTGGGGAGGCCTCACAATCATGGTGGAAAGCAACAAGCGCATCTTACATGGCAGCAGGCAAAAAGAGAATGCAAGCCAAGCAAAAGGGGGTTTGCTCTTATAAAACCATCAGATCTTGTGAGACTTATTCACTACCACGAGAACAATATGGAGGAACCACCCCCATGATTCTATTATCTCCCACTGGGTCCCTCCCACAACACATGGGAATTATGGGAACTACAATTCAATATGAGATTTGGTTGGGGACACAGCCAAACCATATCATTCTACTTCTGGCCCCTCCCATATCTTATGTCCTCATATTTCAAAACAATTATCCCTTCCCAACCATCCCCCAAAGTCTTAACTCATTTTAGCATTAACACAAAAGTCCACAGTCCAAAGTCTCATCTGAGACAAGGCAAGTCTCTTCCACCTATGAACCTGTAAAATCAAAAGCAAGTTAGTTACTTCCTAGATACAACTGGGGTATAGGCATTGGGTAAATACAGCCATTCCAAATTGGATAAATTGGCCAAAACAAAGGGGCTAAAAGCCCCATGAAAGTCTGAAATCAAGCGGGGTAGTCAAATCTTAAAGCGCCAAAATGATCTCCTTTGACTCCATGTCTCACATCCAGGTCACACTGATGCAAGAAGTGGGTTCCCATGGTCTTGGGCAGCTCCACCCCTGTGGCTTTGCAGTGTACAGCCTCCCTCCTGGCTGCTCTCAGGAGCTGGCATTGATTGTCTGCAGCTTTTCCAGGTGCACAGTGCAAGCTGTCAGTGGATCTACCATTCTGGGGTCTGGAGGATGGTGGCCCTATTCTCACAGCTCCACTAGGTAGTGTCCCATTGGGGATTCTGTGTGGGGAATCACATCTGACATTTCCCTTCCACACTGCCCTAGCAGAGGTTCTCCATGAGGGCTCCACCCCTACAGCACACCTCTGCTTAGTCATGCAGGTGTTTCCATACATCTTCTGAAATCTAGACGGAAGTTCCCAAATGTCAATTCTTGACTTCCTCGTGCCTGCAAGCTCAACACCATGTGTATGCTGCCAAGGCTTTGGGCTTCCACCTTCTAAAGCCATGGCCTGAGTTGTACCTTGGCCCTTTTTAGCCATGGCTGGAGCAGCTAGGATTCAGGGCAACAAGTCCCTAGGCTCCATAGAGCAGGGGAGCCCTGGGCCCACAAAACCATTTCTTTCTCCTGGATAGGAGTGGCTGCCATAAAGGTCTCTGACCTGCCCTGGAGACATTTTCCCCATTGTTTTGGCGATTAACATTTGGCTCTTCATTACTTATGCAAATTTCTGCATCTGGCTTGAATTTCTCCTCAGAAAATGTTTTTCTCTTTTCTATTGCACCACCAGGCTGCAAATTTTCCAAACTTTTATGCTCTTTTTCCCTTTTAAGAGTGAATGTTTTTAACAGCACCCAAGTCACCTGTTGAATGCTTTGCTGCTTAGAAATCTTTTCCATCAGATACCCTAAATAATCTCCCTCAAGTTCAAAGTTCCATAAATCTCTAGGCAGGGGCAAAATGCTGCCAGTCTCTTTGCTAAAACATAGAGTTACCTTTACTCCAGGTACCAAGAAGTTCTTCATCTCCATCTGAAACCACCTCAACCTGGATTTCATCATCCATATCGTTATCAGCATTTTGGTCAAAGCCATTCAACAAGTCTCTAGGAAGTTTCAAACTTTCCCACATTTTTCTATCTTCTTCTGAGCCCTACAAACTCTTCCAACCTCTGCCTATTACCCAGTTCCAAAGTTGCTTCCACATTTTCTGATATCTTTACAGCAGCACCCCACTCTACCAGTACCAAGTTACTGTATTAGTCTGCTCTCACACTGTTGATAAAGACATACTCGAGACTGGGTAATTTATTTATTTATTTATTTATTTATTTATTTATTTTTTTGAGACAGAATTTCACTCTTGTTGCCCAGGCTGGAGTGCAGGCGCAATCTCAGCTCACTGCAACCTCTGCCTCCCAGGTTCAAGCAATTCTCCTGCCTCAGCCTCCTGAGTAGCTGGGACTACAGGCATGTGCCACCATGCCCAGCTAATTTTTGTATTTTTAGTAGAGATGGGATTTCACCATGTTGGCCAGGCTGGTATTGATCTCTTGACCTTGTGATCTGCCCACCTTGGCCTCCCAAAGTGTTGGGATTACAGGCGCGAGCCACTGCACCCAGCCAAGACTGGGTAATTTATAAAGAAAAAGAGGTTTAATAGACTCACAGTTCCACGTGGCTGAGGAGGTCTCACAATCCTGGCAGAAGGCAAAAAGCACATTTTACATGGCAGCAGGCCAAAAAAAAAGTGAGCCAAGCAAAAGTGGTTTCCCCTTATAAAACCATTACATCTTAGAAGACTTACCACCGCAAGAACAGTATGGGGGAGACCACCCCCATGATTCAATTATCTCCCTCTGGGTCCCTTCCACAACACGCGGGAATTATGGGTGCTACAATTCAAGATGAGATTTGGTTGGGGACACAGCCAAACCATATGAGATATTAAAAGGATACTAAGGAATATTAGGAGTAACTTTACGTCAATAAACGTGATAGCTTAGGTTAAACAAATTTCTTAAATGGCACAAATTACTACAACCCATTCAAGAAGAAACAAATCTGCATAGACCCCCATCTATGAAAGAAATTAAATTTGTAGTTTAAAACCCACAAAGGAAATTACAGACCCAGATGGCTTCACTGGTGAATTCCACCAAACAGTCAAGAGAGAAATAATATCAACTCTGTACAAACATTTCCAGAGAGTGAGGAGCAGATAACACTTCCTAGCTCATTCTATGAAGCTGGAATTACCTTGATAAAGACATTACAAAGCATTGTAAGATAAGAAAACTACGTATCAATATTTTTCATGAACTTAAATGTAAAAATCCTAAACAAAAATTTAACAAGTCAATCTAACAACAAATGAAAACGATAACACACCATGACCTAGTGAGGTTTATCTCAGGAGTGCAAGAGTGGTTTAACATTTTAAACACAATTAATGTAATTCACCATAACAAACAAAAAAAGAAACATCGTGATCATCTTTGTAGATGCAGAAAAAGCCTCTGACAAATCCAACCACCATTCCTGTTAAAACATTTTAGCAAACTAGGAATATAAAGGGCTCTCCTCAACCTGATAAATGGCATCAACAAAAAAGACCCCTAGAACTAACATCAAACTTAATGATGAAAGACTGAATCCTTTCTCCAAACATGAAGGAAAAGACAAGGATGCTTGCTGCAACCATTTCTATACAACATTGTATTGAAGAATCTAGCCAGTATAATAGGGCAAGGGGAAAAAATAAAAGGCATCAAGATTGAAAAGGAAGAAAAATTTTTCTTTTGCAGGCAATATAATTGTCTATATTTAAAAGTCAGTGTGATCTATAAAAAACTACTAGAACCAGTAAGTTAGGGTAGCAAATTTTAGAATATAAAATCAATATACAAAATTTAATTGTATTTCTATAAATTAGCAATGAACAATTGGAAATGGAAAAAACTTTAAAAATGACATCATTTACAATTGCGCAAAAAAAACGAAATAAGTAGGGATAAATCTGACAAAATATCTGCCTTGAAAATGATGCAACTTTGCTGAGAAATTAGAGGGGAAAAAATGAAGAGACTTTGTTCCTGGGTCAGAGGATTTAGTATTGTTAAGACATCAATTTTCCCCAAATCTCTCTGTTGAATCAATATGATCTCAATCAAAATCCCAGATGCATTTTTTATCTCTTTTCTTTTTTTCAGAAAATGAAAGCTGATTCTAAAACTCATTCAGAAATTCAAGTGACTTAGAGTATCCAAAGAAAATGTAGAAAAGAAGAACAAAGTTGAACACTACTACTTCGTTTTGAAATGTAGGATATTACCAGTGGGGGTAAGAAGAAGAACAAAGCCTGAATAGTAAGCTTTCTCAAAGTTTCTTCAAATAAAAGGGTGTAAAACACCTGTTGTGTTGGGATATAGTAAAAGATAAAATAGACTGGTGTGGCCTCACGTCAACTGGCAAAGTATCAAACCGACTAAACCAACTATTTACCGGCTATAATCAAAGTCTATTGGGCAGTGAAGGGTCTTGAATATTAGAAACAAGCTGCTTTCAAACTTGATAAATAAAATTTTTTTCACTTCCATATAATTTTTATCTTACCTACTTCTAAAAAAACTTGAAGTAGCTAACAATGAACTAGGAAAACTGCCTAAGATTCATGACCTTACTTTTACATATGTACTTTATACTCTTGCATACTTCCTCAATTCTGCTTTGATTAGAGGGGAGATTACTGAGTGACTTCCATTTGACAATACTAAATAATAGGGAACAAACTCAAGTCTTACATACATTTTCCACTGTCTAGACTTCTTATTTTAGATCCATCTAATGCATGAAGGACAATGGGACATTTTCCAAATCTAGGAGGAGCAACATGTAGCTGTCGTCATAGTCCTTCTTATGTTAGGAAACTTCCTATCATTGTTCCAAGAAGGCAAACACTTGAGAACCACAGTGCAGGAAATTAATGGTTTCACAGAGTAAAAGGCCGTTTGCCATGCAGACCACAGTATCATCAAATGTCTTATGATGATGGCATCTCCTACTCAGCATCTTTGCTTCTTGAGGAAAGTTTGATTCTTTCTAGAGAAGAGACTGGTGACTGGGGATTTAAATTTTCTCTTGGAGTGAAGATTTTCTCCATATTTATGAAAAATAATAGTAGCAATAAATGATACTTAACGTAAGGCCTTAGGGCAATATTTCAGGTGTACCAATGCTTTTCATAGGAGTCAGAAAAATCTTATATATGTGAATCTTATAAGTTGAGGAGTGGGAGGAAATTTAATAGTATCTGAGCTTTAAGTATACTTCTTTAGGATAATAAAGAGGACTTTTCATTTAAAATTTTAAAATAATAATATAGAAGACAAACAAGCAGCTTACACTTTCTTCTTCATGGCCAGGATAAGTATCTTTATCTGTTACAGAGTTTGAATTTTGGAAAATTAAGGGTTGATTGCATTTGAATCCTGTACTCATTTGTATGCTGCCTATAATATCCTTTCAAAATATAAATGTTTTCTTTCTGCCCCCAACTGACTATTGTTCAAACTCCATAGTATGTTTCACCAGAACCTTCATGATGTGGTAAACACTGTTTACCTCTAGCTTCATTTCTTTATCACACACACATATACACACAACATGTTGTATTTTTCTCTAATTTACTCATGAGGTCTCTATCTCTAGAGTGGCTATGAACTCCAGCCCTGTGCTGATGGGGCTCCAGGGGATTTGACCATGCATGTTTAGAACGTGCCTTTCACAGGGTACTTCTTTATCCTGGCTCATTGCCTCATGACTAAGTGTCCCATCTGTGACCGGGTGTCCCTCAAACAGGAAACTCATTTATTCTGGAAGATGCCCTTGTGCTCTTGTCTAACTCGTGTCCAGTTTATTCCTGCCAAGATAGCCATGCTCTAGAGAGCTCTGACCAGGAAAGAAGTTAGGTTCAGGTGTGTTTCTCAAGTGAGATACAGAGGAAGCAACTCAACAACACACAATCTACCAGAAGCGGTGTATTCCTTACAGATCCCAGAGAGCACAGAGCAGCATGACTCACAGGGCCAATGGAAAGAAGGCAGCTATCCAGGACATCCATGCACGATCAGCAAATGGGGAGCAAGACACAGAGACACCTGTGGGCCAAAGCCTTTACTGGAGTCCAGGGCCTTCCCCAGTTAGGTTTCCCATGACGAGTTCTAAGTGGTGGGTTTACAGCAAGCAGATATGAGCTCTGTGGGGTTGTGCCGTGACTGAGAGGTGGTCACTGCACAGTCCATGTGGGGTGTGGGGGTCAGTGGGGTGAGTCAAGCAGGTTGTATCTAGCTGACCCATGGGGAGGGGGTCACCAGGAGGTGGTCATTTAAGGCAAATATCTGGAATAACCACTTTGAGGAGTTGAGAAGACAGAGAACTAGAAACCATGTCAAGGGTGATGAAGCCCTATTTTGGGTATGAAAAAGTCCAACTTTTATTCCAAATGGATGCTGAGACAACATAAAATTATAAGAATTCACTACACTAGGCTACACTCCTTTCTACCAACTTTATCACACCCTCCCTGATTACATATCACCCTCATACCCTATAAGGCAGCTACACGGACACTATTTCAGTTCCACATATGGCCTAGGCTCTCAACAGACCCTTGGCCTTCACCCATGTTGTTTCACCTGCTTAAAATACTATGTTACATGTAATTTTTGTTTGGTTAATTTCCACTGGTCCTCAGCTAGGTGGACATTTTCTTTGAAAACTTCTTAACTGACTTTGCCAATGAGGACTAAGGCTCCTCATATATTCCCCTCTCTTCCCCTACCATAACACTTGTCATTTTTGCAGACTGCATTTTCTACAGATGTCCACAGCTCTATCTCCTATCCCACGTGCTCCTACCTTGCCTCTCCTTCATTATTAGCTGCAAGCAGCAGACGTTAAAGGACTCAAATTCTCCTTCCCTGGAGTCTATTCAGCCTTAATAACCAATACAATGTGACAGAAGTGATGGCCAATGATCTTCGAGGCAGGGCCCGAAAAAGCCATGCATCTTTTGCCGGTTTCTATTGAGATGCTTGCTCTAGGGGAAGCCAGTTGCCACCTAAGAGACACAGTTACCCTAAGGCTATCCTGTTGGAGAGGTCACATGATGTAGGTATTCCTGGCAACAACTCAACAGGGCTCCCAGATAACAGCCAGCAAGAACTCAGCCAAGTGAACAGAGACACCACCAGGTAATTTCAGCCCCTGGCCATTGAGTCTTGCTAGCTGAGCCTCAGACATTAGGGAATGCTGTGCCCTGTTCAAATTCCTGAACTTCAGAGCCATGAGCATCATACAAAGGTTGGTGTAAGCTGCTAACTTGGGGGATAATTTGTTACACGGCACTAGTAGCTGAAATATTATTAGACAAGTGGATGTTTACTCATCAAGGCCATAAGATTCCAGACCAGACTATAAATGCATGAGTGTAGGTGTTCTATGTGATTCGTTTACCATTACAACCTCAGCTTTTAGCCCAGTGTCTGTTACAGCAGGGATTACAATTATAGGGATTTAGCGAACAATCTTAGCCAAATGATAATCTTAACTAAATAACAGATTAATAACAACTTAAATAATAATAATCTTAACTAA
Source organism: Homo sapiens (assembly GCF_000001405.40). Taxonomy (NCBI): domain Eukaryota; kingdom Metazoa; phylum Chordata; class Mammalia; order Primates; family Hominidae; genus Homo; species Homo sapiens. Next base: position 11,436,434 of record NC_000006.12, on the reverse strand, counting down.
TTGAATAGATTAATAAATGGATGAATGTGTTCTTAGTCTAGTTTTGTGTTTATCTACCTCTTTCTTGCAGCTCAAATTTGGTGACCTAGCTACAAATTGTTGGCGTACACAGGAATTGTTTTTCCTGTCTGCCAAGTTCCCCATCTTTAATTTCTACTGTGTTCCTTGCCCCAGCATTTAGAATATGAAGTAGCCAAGAGAAAGGCCTTGGACCATGTGGATCTCAGAAAGCTCATCTGGTAGGGCCCCTGGAGTGAGCAGAAGGGGACCAGGGTTGGGTGAGGCGTGGTTGGAGGCAGCACCCCTCTGAAGCCTGTGAACTTGAGAATGGTCTTTATGAGAATGCAGAATCATCCATTAGTAAAGTGCTGCCTCTCTCTTTCCACATACCTTCCTAGGGCACAGGAATTGAAGAGACTGAAGAGAGATGACAATTAGACCAAATCAGCGTATCACCAGCTCCCTGCTCAAGGAGTGTTAACTGGTTGGGCAGGGGGCTATTCAGGTGGTGTGTTGCGTGAGATAGTATCCCTGCCTCAAAAAATCTGTGCCATCTTCCCCTTCTACCTCAAACCCTTTTCCTGCCTTTACATATAAGTGTGTGCATGCACACAAGGCCATGAAGAGGACTAGGGTCTTCCTCACACCTGATTCTATGCAAGATGGATGTAGCCTTCCATGCTGGTGTACTTTTCCCAGTATAGACACAGAATAAGAAGAATAGGGATAAGAATAAGAATAAGAGCAGAAGAGCAAGGAGAAGGAGGAGAAGATGGGAGAGGGAAAGGAAGAAGAGGAAAAGTTATCTTTTATTTGATGTTTGCTAAATGGCATGAATTATAATAAAAGCTTTTTGGCATAATCCCATTTAATCTAATAACAACAACAACTCATAATTTCCAATTTGTAGATGAGGAGACTAATGCTCAAAGAGTTTAAGCAACTTGCTCAAAATCTCACATAGTTGGTAATTGTTGGAGCCAAAATTTTTAGCCAGGTTTGGCTATCTCTAAATTCCTTTCTCTTTCCATTCAATGAATCTACAGGGGGTTCTAGTATCACCTGGAAGTATCCAAACAGCCCACAAGGAGCAGTGCTCAAACTGGATCATGATGTGGGAGTCACTTTGATTCTGACGCTGTACAGAATTGAATTCCTTGTTATAACACCTGTTTGAATTTTGCTTCTCCACACACTGCTCCTTGGATGCCTAAGCACAGCCAAGAAGAACTCCTAACTTACCTAAAGTCCAATGTCCTGGCGATGCCTTGAGGATCAAGAATTCAGGGTATCAGAGTCCAACACAGTGCATTGCACCAAAGAGGAGCTGTTGAGTAATTCAGTTGATGGCTGTCAGCCATACATTGCTTCATGCACAAGAATGCATGTGTTACTGGCAAAAGAAAAGTGACTTCCTAAGATCCATTCTAGTTCAACCACGTTAGTTGTCCTGATCATAGCAGCCACTGTGAATTCAGTTGGTTTTGTTAACTCCCCATGATGCAGTATGTACACAAACTCTGTTTGCTAAGGCAATGCAGAGTCAGTAGTTTATTCAATGTTTACAGAAAGTGATAAGAAAATCAAGGACTAGAATCAAGTGTCTAGGCTCCGGATCAAGTTACTCCAAGGTTGCAAGGAATTTTCAGAGGCATTTCATAGCTTCTTAAGAATGCTTTCTTGAAATAAAGCCTGGGGCCGGGCACAGTGGCTCACACCTGTAAATCCTAGCACTTTTGGAGGCCGAGGCGGGTGGATCATCTGAGGTCAGGAGTTTGAGACCAGTCTGGCCAACATGGCAAAACCCGATCTCTATTAAAAATGCAAAAATTTAGCTGGGCATGATGGCGCGTGCCTGTAATCCCAGCTATTTGGGAGGCTGAGGTAGAAGAATGGCTTGAACCCAGGAGGCAGAGATTGCAGTGAGCTGAGATGAGCTGAGATTATGCCACTGGACTCCAGCCTGGGTGACAGAGCAAGACTCCGTCTCAAAAAAAAAAAAAAAGAAAAGAAAAGAAAAGAAAAAGAAAGCAAGCTTGGGTTGCTGAGATTATGGCCAGCATTCTATAACTGAGTCTGGGATTGTAAAGTAAAGAAGCACCAGCACCTCCTTTGAATTGTTTTGTTTTATTTTTCCAATTCAGCAAACATTTCCTGGTCATCTGCCCTTTTAGAGCTTTGCCACTTAGCCCTATAGAGGACACTAAGCAATAGGAAACATAATCACTGCCTTCAGAATATTACAATCTGTTGACAAAAATAAGTCTTCAACTAACATGCCCCAGAGGGTGAGAAGAGCCTGGCCCTAAAGATACTCACAAAATGTGAGAGAAGTAAGCAGCCCAGAGAAGTCTATTCCAACAGGCAGTTATGTATTTCATTTTGATCATGTGTTTATTCTTGTGGTTTGATTCAGTATGACCTTTGGAGCCTCACTTTGGACTAGACATCGAGCTACAGAGTGGAAATAATTGATCTTACATTTTTTGTTTAACTAGTTCACTATACCTAGTAATTATGGAAAAGTTGCATATTTCAACAGATTCCTTTGTCATTTACTACTCTTTGGTGGGTCAGAACATAATAGTTCACAACATATACATGCTGATTTTTAGATCTCAAAGTCAGAATATAGGGTTGAATATGTAATTATAATAGATAACATATATAAATTATGATAACATATATGTTACTATGCCAATAAGTTGTACTTAGGCCCTTATATACTTCATGTGGCTACTTTCTCTTACATTGGGGAAAAAATATAAAACCTCTCTCTTAAAATCCTACTATTTAGAATAGATGTAAGAAGTCAAATTGTACCCTCCACCTGCTCAGCTGAGTGGCAGAGCTCTATCTTTAGAATGAAAAATCCAGACTGCTGAGTGGTGATAATTTAAATTCTCCAAAAGAGAAAAGTGGGAAGTTAGAACAAGTATGAAAGAAATGAATGAAAGAAAACAAAACATTAGCTCCCAAAGAAAAGATACAGGAAGTTAGGGAATTGAGAAAGAAAGAAAAGATAGACCAAACACTGTTTGAAACAGAACAAAAAAATTCTGAACAGAAGCCTGACTTACTATAATCCATTATATCTTTGCTGATACACCCAAAATAGGATTCAATTTAGTTCCCAGTAAATGACACCAAACACCAAAAACAGCTAGTGACTCACAACTTAGAAAATCAGTTGAAAGCGCTTTCCAAATAGATCTGAGTTTATACTTAGTATTAATAGAACTGTTTCCTTTTCCTCTAATAATAGGTCAGAATATACAATAGCATTCTCCAAGATCTAAAAAAAAAATTTTTTTAAATATCACATTTCTATTTTAACATGAAATTCTCTTCTTTTGATTTTTTTTCTAGTTAAGTGCAGAGAGCATTACAAAAGCACTCAAAAAGCTATTGAATCTTGATGTTTGAGAAAGAGGAATGAGTTATAATTGTGGCATGATAGTAGAATGAATTACAGAATGAGTCACAGCAGTAAAAATAGTATTACAGATGGTGCTTTAATACCTTAGTACTTTTCCAGTCTTCAAGAATTCACTGTCAACATCCCCAATTGTGGTCCACTGTAGTGGTGGTCACATTTTAAATAGCCCCTTCTTTATTGAGTCAGTGTTTTATTGCAGTACCAGTGCCTTTCTCACTTGACTTTCAGCTTGTAGTCATTCACCACATAAAAATACCAGAAGGAATAAGATGATTGGATGAAGAATGCAGAATAATAACCATGTAAGATGTAATGTGCCATAAATGCGGTGTACACATATTACATATTATGGCAAAACCTTAGTAATTGCCTGTCTGGTTTAATTTTCAGCTGAGTAAAGGGAAAAAATTCTGAGGCTGTGCTATCTTTTCCTCTATTATTATTATTACAAATATCTGTATTGGTCAGGGAACCACATAAATCCATCACTACAGTTTTTACAGTTTGCAGAGTTTCTGGACTTGGAAGCTAACCTAAGGTAAAACACCCAAGCTCAGCTTTCCAAAGTTTTCTTACGTTTTTCATCAGAAACGAATTTCAAGTTAACCTTTAGATCCTAAGAAACAAGAGTTTCCCATGAAACTGTGGGCTAGCTAAACCCCAAGTAGGGAGGGGCGTGACCAGGGCGAGGATATGGTGTTCTCATTCCCTGTTGGCAGATGTGTTAGACACGAATGGCCTTCTTGAATCTGGGAGTCTTGCTGGGGCACCCAAACCCGGAAGAGAAAGAGGCTTCATGATTTGGGGGGAGGAGAGACTGGGGATGGTAAATGCCCAGGCAAAATTCTGGTGTGTGCCAATTCCAGCCTCTCATTTTTCTCCCCATACCTCTCTTATCTTCCAACTTAAAGTCTGAGAAGAGCTTGACTTGAGAGCAGCTCAACTTTCTCAAGGACACAACTCAGCCCATGAAAGAGCTGTTGTTCAGATAGATAAATATTCCACAGTCTCTGATGCTCCATATTGAAATTCATCTCCTCCTGAGATTCTGCACTCTGGGCTTCTAAAATCAGTTCCATTCCAAACTCCTCTGTTACTTCATTGCCTTTATCTCAACGGTTCTAGAAACATTTGGGGCCCCACTTTGACTTGAACATCTGTGCTGTACTCTAATCTGCTCCGTGGCCCTTGCCCGGCATTTGTTCCCCCTGGTCCTTTCTTGCACAATGACATCCCTTTGTGTTGATGACCTAAGATCTCTGTTCCAAGGGCTTCACTGACACACACATTTTATTCGGTAAACACTTTTTTATGCCTGCTGCTCAAGATTCTACTCTTGGAGCTCGGCACATACTCCCGCCTTCAATGAGAAATCCACAGTCTAGTGAGAGGGAGTGAAAAATAAAGCACAGGAGAATAGAGGCTTTGGAAGGAGGTGACACAGGGTGCTATGGGGGTGTGTAGAATCCAGGCCAGGCTAGGGGTGAGGGAGAGGAGGGCATTGGGAGGCTTCATGCAGGAGGAGACACCTGAGCTGAGTCTTTTTTTTTTTTTTTCTGAGACCGAGTCTTGCTCTGTCACCCAGGCTAGAGTGCATTGGTACGATCTTGGCTCACTGCAACCTTCGCCTCCCAGGTTCAAGCCATTCTCCTGCCTCAGCCTCCCAAGTAGCTGGGACTACAGGCATGCGCCACTATGCCTGGCTAATTTTTTGTATTTTTAGTAAAGATGGGGCTTTACTAGGTTGGCCAGGCTGGTCTTGAACTCCTGACCTCGTGATCTGCCCACCTCGGCCTCCCAAAGTGCTGGGATTACAGGCGTGAGCCAGCCATCGCGCCCGGCCCTGAGCTGAGTCTTGATGCACATGCAGTAAGAGGTAGCCAGGCAATGACCTAAAAGGGGAAATGGGCAGGAGGGTGAAAAGGATACTGGAACAGATAGAAAGAGAATAGCAGCGTGCATAAAAAGATGCTGATTAAATACTAGAAATTTTAAGTGCATAAAAGTGAATAAGGAGACAAGAGAGGAAGGTTTTTAAAAGAGTTGGCTATGAGCCCTTTCCTTTTCAATGGGTCCAAATAGCTCGTCTTAATCGGATTAGGTTTGCGTAACACAATACCATAGACTGGGTGGCTTAAATAACAGAAATTGATTTTTTGCAGATCTGGAGGCTGGGAAGTCTAAGATCAAGGTGCCAGCAGATTCAGTGCCTGGTAAGGGCTTGCTTCTTGGTTGGCAGATGACTGTCTTTTTGCTGCATCTTTACATGGAGGAGAGAGCAAAGGCTCTGCTCTTTTCTTCTTTCCCTAAGGGTACTATTCCCATCATGGCGGCACCATCCTCATGACCTCATCCAAACCTAATCACCTCCCAAAGGTCCCATCTCCAAATATTATCACATTGGAGATTAGGGCATAAACATATAAATTTTGGGAGGACACAAAAATTCAGTCTGTAATGCAGTTTTTACTAACAGAGAAATAAATGCATGGTGCAGAACTGACGAATTTCTCACCTGGATGCCATGGACTGGATCACAATAAACCACAAAACTGCTCTTTCTTTATTTCATCAAACCTGTGATCAGTTAGCAGGGCTCTAGTCATGGCTGATCGCACTGTGTAATTAGAGACCTAAGATGGGCTATGGTTCGAATGTGTGCTCCCAAAAGTTCATGTGTTAGAAACTTAACTGCCAATGTAACAGTAGGAAGAGGTGGAGCCTTGCAGGGGTGATTGGGCTGTGAGGGCAGAGCCCTACAAATGGCTTCATGCCATTATCACGGGAACGCGTTAGTTCTCATCAGAGTGTGTTGTTCTAAAGGCAAGCTCAGCTCATTCTTGCGGTCGCTTGTGCTCACGTCTGCCTGCTGCTTTTCTACCACGTACAGCAGCATGAAATCCATTTCCAAAAGCTGTGGACATGCCCTTGGACTTCCCAGTCTCCAAACCATGAGCCAAATAAACATCTTTTAAAAATAAAATAAAATAAATTACCCGGTCTGTGGCATTCAGTTATAGCAATAGAAAACAAACTAAGACAAAGATAGTCTTTTATTATTGAGGCATGCAAAGAGAGGCCTCTCCAGAAATCCACTGCCTTGCCCAGCTCAGGGCTACAGAAGACTGACACAGCTCTTCCTGGCATGGGTGTTAACAGTCCCAGCTAGACTTGAAAGAATTGTTCCATATCCCCCCTGCTGTCAGGTGATTCATGAGCTGCTATTCCTCCATCTCTCTGGCCACCTGATGTCATGGGACCCCCAGCCGAGAAACCTATGATCTAATGCTAATTGAAGACAGGAAACCAACCTCACACTGCCTCCTTTACCTCAGAAGAAAACTCTTTTTCTCCTGATACCTTAAAACGCATATCTGACTTTCAGGTAAATGTCAAGGTTCACCAGGTTGTCAAGTAAACCACAAAATGTAAAGATTACTATGAGGGCTGAAAATTTTAATTGAGTCTGTATGAAAGGAAATGTGCCAGAAATATAGATCTCATTGGTTACATAACCATCAGTGTAGTTTATAAACAAAATCTCAAGTTCCCTTAAAATAGTATGGTTATTAGGAAGGAAGCAGCTGATGATGTTTATTTTTCTCCCATCAAGAACCGGGTCTTAAGCTGTAGAAAACTGTCAGCATACAAGTATTTGCCATCTTTCAGCACAATCCATGTTGGTGGGAAGAAGGCTGATTAGAAAAAGAAAAAGACACAGTGTACAAGAAAGAATATATGTACCAAAAAACAAGGTCAATAATGAAGCAATGTGGCTAACCATAACTTGGCTTCTAGGATTGAGATTCTGGACCGTTGAGTAATTGTGTTCCCTTTGCTCTAAGTCCCATCTGTCTTGTTTTGAACCCCTTTCCTGGTGGTTTGTGTGGTGAGCTAACCACTCAACCAGCACTGGGCATCACTGAAGTCTAAACACACAAACACCCTCAGGGATTCGTTTCTAAGCCCTAGAGGGAGAGGAGCGCTGGTATTTCACAGGTCCAGCTCTGGAATTCAGTACTGTCTCTAAACAGGAAGAAGAGATGTTTACAACTGCTGTCTGGCTCAGGGGCCAGCCTGTTTCTCTGAGATGTGTTTGGCAAAACCGGAATTCTAAATTTGATGCAGAAAACAATCACTTGATATTTAAAACAAGGACTAAATGTTTTCCTATTCATTCCATATTCAGCCTTAGTTACTTAGAGGGGTTACTGACAGTGTTGTTTCAAACTCTGCATGGCATTGTGTTAAAAAAGAATGTATTCATTTGTTAGTTAATCGGTCCAGTAAATCTCATTGAATTCTTAGTATCTTCTGAGAGGTGCAAAGAGCTCTTAGACCCAGTTTTACCCTACAAAGAACCTGCAGCCAGCCTGGGGACTCATCATAGGACAGGAAGCTTGTTCATGGTGTTGCTGTTAGCACTGTATCTCCCACATCTAACATGGTGTCTTTAGTACCTTCTAAGTGTTCAACAAATATTTGTCAAATAAACAAATGAAATTAACACCCAGGACGACAGTAAAGCCTTTCCAGGCTGAGAAGTGATACTCCAAGCTAGGTGACTGGGGGAGGCTTCATAAAGGAGGCAGGATTTTAGCAATGCTTTCAGGAGGGAGTAGGACTGGATGCAGCTAGGGAAGTGTGGAAGGGAAAGGGGTTACTTCTTCAGGTAAGGGGGTTCAGATGAGTCCAGCCAGGAGATTGGGAGACCCAGGGCATTTTCGAGAGAGAGAGTGGCTAGAGTGCAAGAGGCCAACTGTGGGGCAAAGCCTGAGAAAGGTGGACTAGGGTAGACTGGGCAGGAGAATGCATACTGGAGGGAGGCATCTGAAATCACTTCCGACGCCACTTCACCACGTAGTTAGGAAAAGAGAATTATGAGTAAACAGAGAGGTGTGGCCAGGGAGAACTACAGAGAGAGCCGGACTGAGCACAGGGACCCGGGTGGGCCCCATTCCCACGGGCTTGGTACTGTGATGCTCCGCATTTCCTGCCTTGATTTTAACCTTTAGAAAAAGGGAAAATTGTTCAAAAACCTGACTTCCTATGTAGTATTCCAAGTGAGTCATAGGACTGTTATGTTTACAGCTAATTTTGATATAAAGATATGACTAGGAAGGGGGATAGGTCTCAGAGCCCCAGGAGGCTGCTCTTGCTGAAAATGGTCTGAGGCGGGAGACCCAGCACCCCATCTCCCCTCTCCTTGCAGTCATGCCATGGGAAGGAAGACTGCAAGGGGCCTGGTACGCACCAGCCTTCGCACTGTGGGGCCTCACAGCACAAAGGGTGTGTATGTATGATGTGTACTGTGTGTGTGTGTATGTGGTGTACGGGTGTGTGTGTGGTCTGTTTGTGTGTAAGAGGGAGTGTGTATGTGTATGTATGATGTATGTCAGTGTGTGTATGTACATGTGGTGTTGGGGAGTATATGTAGCAGGCATGAAGCGGGTGTGTGTGTGTACGTGGTGTGGGTGTGTATGGTGTGTTTGTGTGTGTGGAGTGTGTATGCGCATGTGTGATGTGAGCGTGTATGTGTGGTGTTGGGGAGTGTATGTATGGGGTGTGAGGGGTGTGTGTGTATGTGGTGTTTGTGTCGAGGGAGTATGTGTATGTGTGATGTGTGTATGTGTGGTTTTCGGGAGTGTATGTATGGGGTGTGAGGGCTGTGTGTGTGTGGTGTGGGTGTGTGTAGTGCGTGTGTGTGTGGAGTGTGTATGCACATGTGTGATGTGAGTGTGTGCACATGTGGTGTTGGGGGTGTATATGGGGGTGTGGGGGAGTGTGTGTGATGTGTATATGTGAGAGCATGTGTATGTGTGTTTAGGGGTTTCTGAGCACTGAGAGAGTTTGAGGAAGAGAAGAAGTGATGTGGGGCCTGGACTACACCAGCGTTCTCCCAAGCAGGCCCTGTGTATGTGGAGAGCTGATCTTTCCTTGGTGTCTTTGTGGATTTTCAGCTAAACTCAATAATCTCAAAGATAGTAAAAAACAAAAACAAAAAAACACACCAAAAAACCAAGTTAGTCAGGAGAGCTACAAAAAACAAAAACCCTCATGAGATTAGATTTCTCAATAAAATAGTTACAAGAAATTGTTCACACTCCAGGAGAAGGAATTTTTTCTACAGCTAGCTTTCGTATCAATGTTGCAACCTTCTTTTTCATCTAAGTTGGAACTATCAGCCCCCACCCCACGCCTCCCCAGGCTGTGTGTCCCTGCACCTTAGCCTGCATGGAGTTCTTTTGCATCTGAGCAGGCTGTGACCTCCTGGATGGTGGGAACTGATTCATTTCCATAGAGCATTTCTTGGCACAGAGCAGGTGCTCAGTTTTGGATCTGAATGGGATCCAGGAGGGACTTTGAAGTGCAGTCTCCTTGTGGGGGTTCTCCCTACCATGAGCTGCAGAAGAGAGACTTGTTTATTATCTCACAGATAACTGGATTCAAATGCATGTGTGCATGCGCACACACACACACACACTCCCCACACACCCATTACAAAAACTAGCATTACTTTTGGAGATCATGTGATCTGTTTCAGTGTCAAGAAATAGGCACATTTTCTTAATACAGCATAATCTATTCCATGCTAATACAGTGTAATTCTCTTCTACAGAATTCATGCTTTACACATTAATGTACTGAAAGGTGTCAGTGTCACTTGCCCCACATTCCTCCTCACCCCACAATTCTGCTCACCCTCCAGTGGACTCCAGGCTGTCCTCTGGACCCAAAACCCATGGTTAGGACACTCAGGATCAGTCAGGACCATGGAACCATAGATAGCAACACGAAGCCCTACAGAAGCTTTTGAAGGCTGCTTTTCTGTCTGCTGGGTACATCACTTTCCAGAGGGGCATTTCAGATTCTTTCTTCCCATTAGAGAAAAAGGGGATACAAGAATTTGTAACCTTTTTGTGCAAGAATTACACATACCCTCTACCTTGTTAGGGTCTGTGGTGGGGAGGCAATGAGGGGAGTGGGGTGAAGGGAATTGGTTACAGAAACAAACTTCCAATTATAAAAACAGGATAGCACAAACATGTCACAGAAGTTTTGAGTAAGGAGAAGGTAGGTCACTGAAATGCTTAGGGAAGGATTCTCCAAGTGCTAAGATGGGGGTCCAAATGATTGAGCAGGATTTGGGTAGATGGAGAGCCTGGGGACAGGGAAGGAGAGGGAGGGCATTCCTAGCATTCCTGAGTGGAGGGTCAGCAAAGGCCAGAGCTAGGAATGGACACAGTTTATGTGGGGTCAGGGCTCCCACATGACCACTCTCTGTCCAGAGGGGAGAAGTTAGTGCATGAGAGCCTTGTAAACACTGTGCGTGCACATGTGTTTGAATAGAAATCATTGTTTGCCCACCCTGCCTCTGAAATACCTTTGCCTCCCTTTCCTTAATCTGAAAAATATAGCATTGAGTATGAGTAATGACGACAATATCTCACATGTATGAAAGCGCAATTTAAAAGAGGCTTTCATATCTTTGCCTAATTTGTGACATTATATCGCTGACTCATTTGAAGCGCTGCAACATATACCCACTTCTTGAGGTGTGAGGAATGCTTATCAGTTTAGTGTTGCATTTGTAAAATGCCATTTATTTAAAAGTATTGCTAAAATATTCCTTGTGTGCTCTAAGGAACTAGTAAGATTCTACATTTAGTACTTATTTGCTTTCAGAAGTGTGCTTCCTCCAGAAAGCCTGAGGAGGAGAAGCAAGAACATCTATCTTTTTATTAATTTATTTATTTAGAGATGAAATCTTGCTCTGTCACCCAGGCTGGAGTGCAATGGCGCGATCTCGGCTCACTGCAACCTCCGCCTCCCAGGCTCAAGTGATTCTCCTGCCTCAGCCTCCCAAGCAGCTGGGACTACAGGTGCCCACCAAGATGTCCAGCTGTTTTTTGTATTTTTAGTAGAGATGGGGTTTCACTAGGTTGGCCAGGCTGGTCTCGAACTCCTGACCTCATGATCCACCCACCTCTGCCTCCCAAAGTGCTGGGACTACAGGAATGAGCCACTGTGCCCAGCCAAGAACATCTGTCTTTCAGAAGCACAGGGACTGAGCAGGGTGAGTGAGCTGTTGCCATTCCAAATCTCCTATTTCAACACCAAGGGTGGAAAGGAGCTGGGAATGTGGGGTGCAGGAATGCAACCCCAGGTCCCCAACTTCCCAACCTGTCCAAATAAGGGAAAAGCACCATTCAGCAAAACCAATCTAACAATCTCCAGCTAGAAGGGGCTGAACCAATATTTTTCCATCTGTTTGTTGAAAGCTCCATGCTGTGGGGTATCATGAGTGCGTCTTCCTTCTCCGAAGTTGTCCCCACTGGGCTGTGATATAAAGCAAGCCTGTGGCCCCGGTGTGTGGAACAAGGTATTCTTGAAGACTGTTTAGATTTGCTGGGAATTTCCTGCTGCCCTGGAGACTCAGGAAACCAGGGCTATGCCCAGGTCACTGCCCATGACTGGTGAAGGAATGTGACTCGACCCTGAGGTTTAAACTTCACAGTTGAAGAGAGGATTCTGAGTTTTAACTTTCCAGGTGAGGAGTCACTAAAAAAGTACTGTATTTTTTCAAGTAACCACCCTTTTTTGAATGCTTACTATAAGCCAGGTTCTGTGCTTAGTTGAGAGTTTTCCACCATCTAATCCTCAATAAGATACATGTTATTACTCCATTTCATACGTGAGAAACCTGAAAACCAGAGACGTTGAGCAGCTTACCCAAGATCTTACAGCTAATAAACTACAGCACTGTGACTTTCACATAGGTTTCTCTAACTCTCCTTAACTGTTCTTGTACGTAAATCCATAATTTCATTCAATGAATTGTTACTAAGTTCCTATCAAGTGCCTGGGGCTGGAAACATACCTGTGAATAAACAGACAAAGCTATGGCTTTCGTGGACGTTATATGCTGGTGGATAGAAGCAGAAAATTCACAAATATATAGCATGTTACGTGGTGGTAAGTGTCATAGGGAAAAATAAGCCATGGAACTAGATGGCAAGAACTGGAGAGCAGGCAGTACTATTTACAAGGAAATGATGCATTTGTGATGACAGGACATAAAAATGCTTCCCAACATGTCAAGAACAATTTCTAAACTCCTGCAGCCTGTCATAGCCAGCTGTGATGGCAATATGATGGCTCCCCAGCCAGCATGAGAGGAGTCCTTGCCAAATAGGTGTGTTTCAGCTTGTTGGAAATGCAGTCAGAAGGGAAATGTCACAGCACAGATGGACTGAATGATTGGGGATAATGATTTGATCCTGTGAGCTGACTTCCCCTTACCTTGATTGGAAATGAATTCCCTCCCCCTCTTTCTTCACAAGGAGGTTTTGAACACT